>NC_000011.10:37787272-37938787 GCF_000001405.40 Homo sapiens
CTTATTCACAAAGTTTTGTGGTAATAAAAATAACTAGGAAACACTTTTTAAAACTTTAAATATAGTATAAATAAAGAAAATAGAAATTATTACTATCCACTATTATAAAAGGTAAACAAGATTCAGACTCTGCCTTCAGAAACTTATACCAAATGATAAGATGAGTGGTAAATGTTCACTGCAATTTACATAGAACACAACCTTAGTCAAGGAGAGTTGTTGAGGAAATACCTACCCAGCTTTCAGGTACCACTTGAGGTTTTAGGCTCACTATGTAGCCATTCCTGACATGCTGGTATACAAAAATGTTTACTCCTCTCTGAACTTCTGTAGTTACACTAATTTTATACCACTGTTTACATGGCATTTATAAATATATTACAAATATGCTCATTATACACATATTAAAATAAATGCATTATAAATATTATAAGTGTATTATAAATATATACTCTTGAATTAGTATGCATATGACTTGAGTTCCCATATCTAGAACTTTGAAGAAAAGAACTTTATAAAATAAGTTTTGTAGATATTTTATAGTTAAACTAATTGTTACTGCATGAATAAGTAACATAAGTAAGAAGTGAAAAGTTTTTAGAGATAAGAAAGTGCTATATGTGGAGAAAATTGAATTTTTGAAAATCCTGACTTAATACCCAGAGAAACAGATTTTTTTTAAGTTTAGCTTCATTTATTTGACATGACTTTGTTTCTGTACAAACAAAAGAATTACAAGATTTTTCCAGATCATTCAAATAAGAAAGGAAATAAGTCAATGATGCAGAAATTATTTTAAGATTTGAGCTAGTCTACAATCTGTTAAGATATGAGAAATTGAACTATATTTGTACTATTTCCATATTAAACCAAGCAGCAAATCAATATTAATCATAACATTGTGCTTCCTGGAACTTTCTAAAGAGTCTATTAAAGTTTTGTTAGAAAGGATTGTTTTTAAAATTAAAAACCATGAGTGGTTCCAGGCAAATCCACATACCTATGCCATCATAATATCAATCAGGGAAAAACATGCTTGAGTCTTTTATGAAGACTAAATGACTAAGGAGTGGTGCGTAAGTTTTCCCTGTTTCAACAAGCTGAGCACTTCCTTTTACTTCACATTTAAAAAATTTTTTTTTCACACGTTATTTGGGAGCAGGTGGTGTTTTGTTACATGAGTACATTGATTTGCAAGACTGTGGTGCACCCATCACCTGAGCAGTATACACTGCACCCTATTTGTAGTCTTTTATCCCTCACCCCTTCCCAGCCTTTCCCCCTGTGTCCCTAAAGTCCATTGTGTCACTCTTATGCCTTGGCATCCTCATAGCTTAGCTCCCACTTACAAGTGAGATCATACAATGTTTGGTTTTTCATTCCTGAGTTACTTCACTTAGAATAATAGTCTCCAGTCTCATCCAGGCGGCTGGGAATGCCATTAGTCATTTCCTTATGTGGCTGAGTAGTATTCCATCGTGTATGTATACCATAGTTTCTTTATCCACTCATTGATTGATGGGCATTTGGATTGCTTCCACGTTTTTGCAATTGTGAATTGTGCTGCTATAAACATGTGTGTGCAAGTATCTTTTTTGTATAATCGCATCTTTTCCACTTGGTAGATACGCAGTAGTGGGATTGCGAGATCAAATTGTAGTTCTACTTTTAGTTCTTTAAGGAATCTCCACACTGTTTTCCATAGTGATTGTACTAGTTTACATTCCCATCAAGAGTGTAGAAGTGTTCCCTGTTCACAGCATAAATGCCAACATCTACTATTTTTGATTTTTTGATTATGGCCATTCTTGCAAGAGTAAGATGGTATCACATTATGGTTTTGATTTGCATTTCCCTGATGATTACTGAGGTTGAGCATTTTTTCATATATTTGTTGGCCATTTGTATATCTTCTTTGAGAATTTTCTACTCATGTTTTTAGCCCAATTTTTTATGTGATCATTTGTTTTTTTCTTGTTGATTTGTTTGAGCTTATTGTAAATTCTGGATATTAGTCCTTTGTCAGATGTACAGATTGTGAAGATTTTCTCCCACTCTGTGGGTTGTCTGTTTAATCTGTGGACTGTTCCTTTTGCCATGCAAAAGCTCTTCAGTTTAATTAAGTCCCAGAAATCTATCTTTGTTTTTATTGCATTTACTTTTGGGTACTTGGTCATGAAATCTTTGCCTAAGCCAATGTCTAGAAGGATTTTTCCAATGTTATCTTCTAAAATTTTTATAGTTTCACGTTTTAAAGTCCTTAGACCATCTTGAGCTGATTTTTATATAAAGTGAGAGATGAGGATCCATTTTTATTCTTCTGCATGTGTCTAGCCAATTATCCCAGCACCATTTGTTGAAAAGGGTGTTCTTTCCTCACTTCATGTTTTTGTTTGGTTTTTTGAAGATCTGTTGGCTGTAAGTATTTGGGTTTATTTCTGGGTTCTCTATTCTGTTCCATTGGTCTATGTGCCTATTTTTATGCTAGTACCATGCTGTTTTGGTGACTATAGACTTACAGTATAGTTAGAAATGAGTAATGTGATGCTGCCAGATTTGTTCTTTTTGCTCAGTCTTACTTTGGTTAGGCAGGCTCTTTATTGGTTCCATATGAATTTTAGAATTGTTTTTTCTAATTCTGTGAAGAATGATGGTGGTATTTTGATGGTTATCACATTGAATTTGTAGGTTGCTTTTGGCAGTATGATCATTTTCACAATGTTGATTCTACCCACCCATGAGCATGGGGTGTGTTTTCATTTGCTTGTGTCATCTATGATTCCTTTCAGCAGTGCTTTGTAGTTTTCCTTGTAGAGGTCTTACACCTCCCTCCTTGGTTAGGTATATTTCTAAGTATCTCATTTTTTTTTTTGTAGCTATTGTAAAAGGGGTTGAGTTCTTAATTTGATTCTCAGCGTGGTCTCTGTTGCCATACAGAAGAGCTACTGATTTGTGTACATTAATTCGTATCTGGAAACTTAGCTGATTTCTTTTGTCAGTACTAGGAGGCTACTGGAGGTGTTTTTAGGGTTTTTTATGTAAACGATCAAACGACAAACAGTGACAGTTTGTCTACATCTTTGCCGGTTTGGATCGCTTTTATTTCTTTCTTTTGTCTGATTTCTCTGGCTAGGACTTCCAGTACTATGTTAAAGAGAAGTGGTGAGAGTGGGCATCCTTGTCTTGTTCCAGTTCTCAGAAGGAATGATTTAAACTTCTCCCTATTCAGTATTGTGTTGGCTGTGGTTTGTCATAGATGGCTTTTATTATATTGAGGAATGACCCTTGTATGATATTACTGAGAGTTTTATTTATAAAGGAATGCTGGATCTTGTCGAATGCTTTTTCTTCATCCATTGAGATCCTCATTCAATTTTTGTCTTAATTATGTTTATGTGGTGTATCACATTTATTGATTTGCATATGTTAACCATCCCTGCATCCCTGGTATGAAATTCACTTGATCATGGTGGATTTTCTTTCTCGTATGTTGTTAAATTCAATTAGCTAGTATTTTGTTAAGAATTTTAGCATCTATGTTCATCAAGGATATTGGTCTGTAGTTTTCTTTTTTGGTTATGTCCTTTACTGGCTTTGGTATTAGGGTGATACTGGCTTCATAGAATATTTTAGGGAGGGTTCCCTGTTTCTCTATCTTGTGGAATAGTGTTAGATTGGTACCAGTTTTTCTTTAAATGTCTGGTAGAATTCTGCTGTGAATCTGTCTGCTCTTGGACTTTTTTTGGTGGCAATTTTATAACTACAATTTCAATCTCGCTGCTTGTTATTGATTTGTTTGGGGTGTCTAATTCTTCTTGATATAAGCTAGAAGGTTTCCATCTTTCCAGGAATATATTCATCTTTTCTAATTTTTCTAGTTTTTGCACCTAAAGGTGTTCTTAGTAGCCTTGAATGATCTTTTGTATTTCTGTGGTGTCAGTTGTAATATCTCTCATTTCATTTCTTATTAAGCTGATTTTGATTTTTTTTCTACTTTTCTTGGTTAATCTTGCTAATGTTCTATCAATTTTATTTCTCTTTCCACAAAACAAGCTTTTTGTTTTATCTATCTTTTGCATTTTTTTGTTTAAATTTCATTTAGTTGAACTCTGATCTTGATTATTTCCTTTCTTCTGCTGGGTTTGTATTTGGTTTGTTCTTGTTTCTCTAGTTCCTTGAGGTGTGACCTTAGGTAGTCTGTTTGTGCTCTTTCAGACTTTTTGATGTAGGTGTTTAGGGCTAAGAACTTTCCTCTTAGCAGTGCCTTTGCCATGTCCCAGATGTTTTGATAGGTTATGTCCGTATTGTCACTTAGTTAGAAGAATGTTTAAATTTTCATCTTGATTTCATTTTTGACCCAGTGATTATTCAGGAGCAGGTTATTTAATTTCCAATGTATTTGCATGATTTTGAAGCTTCCTTTTGGAGTTGATTTCTAGTTTTATTCCACTGTGGTCTGAGAGAGTGCTTGATATAATTTTAATTTTCTTAAATTTATAGAGGTTTGCTTTCTGGCCTATCATGTGGTCTATCTTGGAGTAAGTTCCATGCGCTGTTGAATAAAATGTATATTCTGTGCTTGTTGAATGGAATGTTCTGTATACATCTGTTAAGTCCATTTGTTCCACGGTATATTTTAAATCCATTGTTTCTTTGTTGACTTTCTGTCTTGATGACTTGTGCAGTGCTGTTGGTGGAGTATTGAAGTCCCCCACTATTATCGTGTTGCTGTCTATCTCATTTCTTAGGTCTATTACTAATTGTTATATAAATTTGGGAGTTCCATTGTTAGGTGCATATATATTTTCCTGTTGGACAAGGCCTTTTGCCATTATACAATGTCCCTCTTTGTCTTTTTAACTGCTTTTGCTTTAAAGTTTGTTTTTTCTGATATAAGAATAACTACTCTTGCTCGCTCTTGGTGACCATTTTCCTGAAATGTCTTTTTCACCCCTTTACCTTAAGTTTGTCTGAGTCCTTATGTGTTAGGTGAGTCACTTGAAGGCAGCATATAGTTGGTGAATTTTTATCCCTTCTTTAATTCTGTATCTTTTAAGGAGAGCATTTACATCATTTACATTCAATGTTCGTATTGAGATGTGAAGTACCATTCCATAAAGCCATTTCACAAACACCATATTTACAAAATATAAAAGTCTGTTGGGAGAATAAATCAGTACCTTTTTGTATTACTTGGTAAAACAAGGTATACATATAAGAAATAAGCCCATCAATTCTACTCTCAGTTGCACAAAAGGATGTGAACAAGACCTGGTAATTACAGCATTATAAACACACACACACATGCTCGCAAACCTCAAAAATGATTTTTAAAAATCAGAAAATCCCTCAAATGTGCATTAATTTGAAATTATAGGATTTTCAGACAATAAAATATAAATTAGTGGTGAAATATGAATGAACCCTAAAATTACAAAATACATTTTTTAGAAAATTATGCATATTACAAAAACATATATGTATTAAGTCATATAAAGTTTAAAGGAAGGCAAAAATCCAGCATATTTTGTTTTAGAGGTGAATACACTAAAACTATAGGGAAAAACATATAATAATTTTTACAAAGTGAAGTAGTTACTTTGTGTGGCTCAGAGAAAGAGAAGAAATCTGAAAGGGGTATTTATAGTTTGTTTAGCTAAGTTATGAACATATGGGGCTTTCTTTTAATATTATTATTCATTATTTCATTTTACATGTTTTAGTAATATGCAAAATTCATAGTAAAAAATGAAATACTTTTATATTTAGCCATAGATATTGAAATGATTCGTTTTACATTTCTATCATAGAACCCAAGACATGAGTTCAGAGCATAATGACCAAGAATTACAACAGATGTATTGTCCATTAATGGTGAGCCTGCAGGTCTTCAGATAAAAATTGTCTACCTAGGAACTTCATTACTACTTATTAGAAACTTTCATGTGCTCCTGGTTTATTATTTATTTTGAATTTTAAATTCTCAGTTTTCTAAGGCACATGATATTAAAGGCAAGTATCTATGAATTTGTTTTTATATAAAAGTCCACTATCTTGCATTTATCCATTCTTCACTCTATTTTTAGAGGTGTATTTTCAGAACCCTTAGACATTTGTTCAAACAGTTCAATATCATCTGGATTCAATAAAGATAGTAGGTTCCAGGTGTATTTTAAGCCATTTGGATTTTTGTACATTATTAAAGTTTGATGGATCAATGATAACAGGGTTTATATCCCAAAAGGAAACTATTTAGATCAGGGCAACTAAAAAATAGATTTACTATCTAAATATTAAATATTTCGAAAGAAAGTTTCTATCTCAGTACATTTTCTCAATCACTAACACCTGTGCACCAGCAAACACACACACACACACACACACACACACAAACATACACACACAAAAATTAAATGAGTTGGTAATTATAAAATGTGAATAATTATGCCTATTACTTACTATAAGTCCTAGGAGTGTTTCTTAAACAAATAAATGTTCAAGCAAAAAAGTATATTTGGTACCAAAGATTCAAATCCCAAAGGTCTTTTAGGAGGGTGCAATGATAGCCTGCATTTCAAAGACAATGAAATTTTGAATGACTTCATAAACAACTTTGTACCACTATTCTTTTCTGATGTCCAGAGAATATGAAGATTGATATTTTACTTTTCAACAGACAGAAAACTAGTTAATTGATGTGGTTAGCTGAAAGATGAAAGTGAACACTTGTAATAAAGCAGGTGTTAGAATGTTGTTCAAGAATATTGTTAAATTTAGTGAAAATATTTTAAGACATCCAAGTATTTCAGCAGCTTCTGAGAATATAAACATTTTGGCAAAGTCTACATTTGTAAAATTACAAGGCATGTTTTACAAAGATTAATGAGATTATATAATGATTTTGATCAATGTACCCACAAAAATAAGAAAATTCTGGTCAAATCTCTCCTTTTTTTATTGTATTTTGTGCTTGCCTCTACTCACCTATAATCTTCACTGCCAAAAGACACGTGAACAAAAGATAAGTGAGTTTATGCCTCAGTTACTGAGATAAGTTATTTCAATTACATTTTCCCTGCACAACCAGATAATTTAGGGGAAAATAAAAATGGTTAAATGCATATTTTTGTGAACTTAACACTTGACTTTTTATTACTTGTCTTTTCAAATATGACTATATAATCTAATTATGACTTTCCCCTAGGGGAAAAGGCTCAAAACATGATTTGAATTTGTTAGATTTTTTCCTGCTTAAAGAGTGCATTACTTGAAAAATGCTTGTGTGCTGTAATACACTGACGAAGTCAAGTCAATAACTTGGCATAATCTGGTTATTCTGCCTGGCAATTACTTAACCTTTAAATAATTTTCAAGCTATTTAAGCCAATAATTTCAAACCTAAAAGTTGACAAATATTATATATTTGATGAAATATTCTGAAGCCTATAAAAATATTTTTTCTTAAAAAATTACTAATGGTTGTTACAGGGAAGATATATTGATTAATGTCAAAATTAGTGGACATTAAGAAGAAACAGAATATTTGCATAGCCTTAAAGTATCTCCTCAAAAGTTTAGTAACTACTGTAGTAGTTTAAATATATGGCCATAAACTTTTTGGTACCCTCTTCTGCAGGAGTTAGAGTTTAACAACCTTCATATGTGACACAGCTCTTAGTAAATGGTATCTATGAATGGTATATAGAAAGAGGACAAAAAAACAAAACAGCAACTTGACATGGGAAAATTCTGGAAAACATCACATTAACCAGGTAATCGAAGTGAACATCAACAGCAGGTCATCTTGATGTTATATGCTCCCTAATACGATTCAAAGAGTAAGGCTTATCACTTCTATAATATGCTTTCCTTCCCTCAAATCGAATAACCTCCAACTGTTTTGAGAAAATATCAAACATTGAGAGGTAATCTACAAAATACTCAACCACTATTTTGCAAAGCTATAAGATCTTGAAAGACATAAAACTATCACATATTAGAGATTAGGGAGGAGACTAAAGATGATTAAATGCAATGTGTCATTCTATATTGGATCCTTGAACAGATCAATATCAGACTTGTGAAAAAAAATGGAAAAATGTAATCAAGTCTGTAATTCAGTTAATAGTAATGTCACAATGTTAATTTGTTATTTTTGATAAACATACTATGACTGTGTAGGAAGTTAATGCTAAGGAGAGCAGGATGAAGGGCACATGACAAATGTCTCTTCAAATCTTCCACAAATCTAAATATATTTGAAAATAAAAATTGTTAAAAATAAACATAAAAAATATGACTGTCTCTTAAATAGAAAAAGTAGACATTTTCTTTTTCTCAGTAAAAAATGAGGGAAACCATATGCCTTCATTGCCTCTTTCGAATATATATATTTTTGTTTATCTAGCATTTGTTACCCATCCCACCTGAAACTCAGTTTCTTGTTTCCAGATTTTCCTCTAAAAAGTCACTTCTCTGAAGCCCTACTTCTCAGTTCGTGTTGTTCAAGTGAGGTAGCTAAAAGTAACAAGAACTTGGATTTAAACAATTCAAGGATGTACATTTCCCCTGGCCATAGAGATTCATTCTACGGTGCTCATGTCATTACTCCACCAGAGCCAGTGAAATGAATGAGACTTATTGAGATTTATGATAAGTAGTTACTCTTTCTATTGTACTTGAATTAGGCAAGATGTGAAAAAAATACCATAACCAACATGGAACAAAGTGGCTCCATGGAAAGTGGAACAAAGAGAAAAAGAGACCTTAGTGATAGCATTCATGTGTCTGATCAAATTTTGTCTTATGCTCACTCTACTCCTGGACTTTTCAGTTATATTATCCAAATAAGTCACTTTTTAGAGTTGCCATATTGTATATGTTTTTTTCTGACTCATGGAACTAATGAATATAATAGTTAAAATAAAATTAACATGGGTAAAAATTTTCAAGATGTTTATTTGACCAACGAGTAAATTGTATAACGTGGTCATAGTATTTAGTACTGGAATTAAACAGATTTGATCTTACTTGATATTAATTTATTATTAATATTATTAATTATTATTGTTGTTGTTTTATCATTACTTCGAACAGAAATTTGGCTATAACATACTCTATGTGCCATGGGAAATAATGCTTTTTTTTTTGCTACAGGTTTCAGTCTGTCTAATAGGCATTCACATAGAATTAATCTCTGGGAGTTATTATGAGTATTATTTAATATTTTATAAATGCATATGTATGGCTAAGAGTATAGTCTTAAAAACATGAAATAATCATAGACTAATAATAAATTACTTTAACTTTCTATCAATAACAGCAAAATCTATGTAGTTATTGTTAGAAAGCTAATTTATTTTCTTGCCATTCACATATTTACCTGCAGTTTTTATCTTCCAAAATGCCAGAATTTGAGAGTTCATCAACTTTCAAAGAAGTATATGTGAAAGTGAATATTATATGAAATGATTATATATAATACAAGACTATCTTGTCTCAAAAGCAATCACAGGATGTCATGATTCCTTGTGCTAAAAATTGGTTAATACGTGTGCATATATGCTGGAGTCCCATAATTCAGTTTTGTAACCACTAGTCACATCAAAATTAAATAACATAAGATTTTCATCTCCCCGGTCACAGTAGCTACATTTCCATTTCAATATGAGACTTGTTGCTACCACATTTAACGGTACATTTAGAACACTACATTGCATACAAAGTCCTATTGGAAAGTGGTATGATAGAGTTAAAAAAATTAAAGAGGGAAGTAAACTGTCTTCAAAGGTAAAAAATGTATTTGCTTACAATAAATGGTAGCATAATCACTGTAGATATAATACATCCTCTGTGGGAAACTCCCTCAGGCTAATTTGCTTGAGAATTTCTCATAATGTCCAGAACCAAAATTTACTGCTCTGCAGAGAACACATCTAATCATCAAATTTTGCATGTGGTGATTTCACATTTTGATAAAATCTGTGCTCTGAATGTCATACTCATTGTCCACTAAAGGTCAATACTTCTACCTTATTCATCTGCAAAGTAATATGCATTAAGTAATAATTAAATTTTTATAGGTGCCCAATATCAACTACTTTCTTTGGCGTTTCCCTGCTCCAATTCATTTCCCACAGTTCTGGCAGAGTTATCTTTCTAAAAGCAGTTCTGATGACATCAATCTCCTCTTTGAAAAGCTTCAATAATTCTAACTTCTTAGGAAGTTCATCTGCCTTAGAAGGATTTACAAAATTGTTGTCAATACTCACCTAACTTATGGTTTAGCCATATCTGTCACGTTCTTCCTATTTGACCTCTGGCAACATGAGCATTCTTCAGTATAGGTTTTACTTTTTTAGCTTCCTAATCTTTGCCTGGAATGCTGTTCTTTCTCTTCTCTGCTTACAGTATCCTTTTCTCTTTCCAGATACAGCTCAGATGCCTCATTTACTAGTATATCTCTAGTGTCTACAAATCACTTCACTATCGGGGAACCTGCCCCGATAGTCACGTAGGTTCTTTTCTATTTTCCCTGAGCTTCAGCCGGCTTGAGAAATAAAGGGACAGAGTACAAAAGAGAGAAATTTTAAAGCTGGGGCATCCGGGGGAGACATCACATGTCTGTAGGTTCCGTGATGCCCCACAAGCTGTAAAACCAGCAAGTTTTTATTAGGGAGTTTCAAAAGGGGAGGGAGTATATGAATAGGGTGTGGGTCACAGACATCAAGTACTTCACAAGGTAAGAGAATATCACAAGGCAAATAGAGGCAGGGTGAGATCACAGGACCACAGGACCGGACTGGGGCAAAATTAAAATTGCTAATGAAGTTTCAGGCACCATTGTCATTGATAACATCTTATCAGGAGACAGGGTTTTGAGAGCAACCAATCTGACCAAAATTTATTAGGCAGGAATTTCTTCTTCCTAATAAGCCTGGGAGCGCTATGGGAGACTGGGGTCTATTTCACCCCTGCAGTCTACAGACCATAAAATACGGCCACACCTGGGGGGCCATCTATAGACCTACCCCTAGGCGCGTATTCTCTTTCCCAGGGATGCTCCTTGCTGAGAAAAAGAATTCAGCGATATTTCTCCCATTTGCTTTTGAAAGAAGAGAAATATGGCTCTGTTCCACCTGGCTCACCGGTGGTCAGAGTTTAAGCTTATCTCTCTTGTTTCCTAAACATTGCTGTTATCCTGTTCTTTTTTCAAGGTGCCCAGATTTCATATTGTTCAAACACACATGCTCTACAATTTGTGCAGTTAATGCAATTATCACAGGGTCCTGAGGCAACATACCTCCTCCTCAACTGACAGGATTAAGAGATTAAAGTAAAGACAGGCATAGGAAATCACAAGGGTATTGATTGGGGAAGTGATAAGTGTCCATGAAATCTTTACAATTGATGTTTAGAGATTGCAGTAAAGACAGGCATAAGAAATTATAAAAGTATTAATTTGGGGAACTAACAAATGTCCATGAAATCTTCACAATCCACGTTCTTCTGCCATGGCTTCAGCCAGACCCTCCATTTGGGGTCCCTGACTTCCCACAACACTTCACTGTTATGGTCTTAGGATTTATTATACACTTCCATAAAAATATGGGTCTATTCTACTCTACAGATTTCTGTGTGTGTCTGCCTCTTTCACTACACTTTGAATCCATAGAGGACAGACAACACATATTATCCCAGGAGCTCCTTCACCTGCTATATACCAAGCACACAATAGATATTCAATATATATTTATTGACTAAATATCATTTTGTACTTGCACTATCAATTTGTCTAAATTTTGTTCAATTTGGGGAGTGGGATAGATTTAGTCTTACCTCATTATTTTACAGCTTAGGAAACTGAAATTGAAAGACTAAAATTATTCTCAAGGTCACATTACTAATAGAAGTAGGAAATTAGAAAAAATTGATGATGATTAAGTATTCAAAACAGATAATATCTCACTAGATACAGCTAAAGAAATCAAATAAGGGAAGGCATTAACTTCTCTTATCACAGGTGATAGAAAGAAGGAGAAAGAAATAATGCTGAATTTTGATTTTCCAGATTGAGAGATAAAATATTACTATGGCCCATTTCCTTCCAGTTCTCTGCATGAAGGTGATTGGTGGTGGGAAAGATAAGCTGTTGGAAAAACAGACTTATGCAAAAAATAAGTTATTAAGATCTATAACATCTATATCTATATATATGCTTCAAATAATTTTTTGTGAAAATTTTTTCTAGGTAGTCTTTTATAACATGAAACTAAGAATTTCATCAGCTATCAAATATACCATATACTGAAATATAAAGCTATAAAAAGACTGAAAAAAATGGTGAAAAATATATTAGGCATGTTCTTCACCAAATTATGTGAGAAAATAAGCACATATTTCAATAATTAAAATTATTTTGATTCAGTGTTACATTGTAAGGACTATGACTATGAAAATATTAAATTATCAACCAAAAAAATCCCTGGACCAGATTAATAGCCAAATTCTACTGACATACAAAGAAAAGCTAGTACCAATCATGCTGTAATTATTCTCAAAAAATGAGGAGGAGGGACTTTTCCGTAACTCATTTTACAATGCCAGCATCATTCTGGTACCAAAACCTGGCAGAGACACAACAAAAATAGAAAACTTCAATCCAATATCCCTGATACACATAGATGCAAAACTTCTCAACAAAATACTAGCAAATCAAAAGTAACAGCACATCTAAAAGCTAATCCATCACAATGAAATAGGCTTTAATCCTTGGATGCAAGATTGATTCAACATACACAAATCAATTAATGTCATTCGTAAACAAAATGAAAACAACATGATCATCTCAAGAGATGCAGAAAAGGCTTTCAATAAAATTCAACATCCGTTCATGTTTAAAACTCTCAATAAACTAGGCATTGAAGGAACATATATCAAAATAGTAAGACCCATCTATGACAAACCAACAGCCAACATCATACTGAAGGGGCAAGAGCTGGAAGCATTCCCCTTGAGAACTAGAACAAGACAAGGATACCCACCCTTACCACTCTTGTTCATCATACTACTGGAAGCCCTAGCCAGAACAGTCAGGAAAGAGAAATAAATAAAAGGTGTACAAATCGAAGAGAGGAAGTCAAACTGTCTCTTTTCGCAGATGATATTACTCTATAACTAGGAAACCCCACAGACTCTGCCGAAAGACTCCTAGAACTGATAAATAACTTTGGTAAAGTTAAAGGGTACAAAATCAATGTAATCAATGTACACACATCAGTAGCATTTCTATATAGCAATAATATTCAAGCTGAGCGCAATCCCATTCACAATAGCCATGAAAAGAATAAAATACCCAGGAATACAGCTAACCAAAGAAATCAAAGATCTCTGAAAGGAGATTACAAAACACTGCTGAAAGAAATAAGAAATAACACAAACAAGTGGAAAAATATTCCAAACTCATCAATAGCAAAAATCAATATTATTAAAATGGCCATATAGCCCAAAACATTGCACAGATTTGATGCTATTCTTATCAAACTATTAATGTCATTTTTCACAGAATTAGAAAAAATCTAAAATTCATATGGAAATAAAAAGAGCCCAAATAGTCAAGACAATCCTAAGGAAAAGGTAGAAAGCCAGAGACATCATATTACCAGACTGCAAACTATACTACAAGGTAGTATAACCAAAACAACATAGTACTGGTATAAAGCACGCACTTAGACCAATGGAATAGGTTAGAGAACCCAGAAATAAAGCTTCACACCTACACACATCTGATCTTTGACAAAGTTCACAATAACAAGCAATGGGGAAAGGACTCCCTATTTAATAAATGGTCCTGGGAAAACTGGCTAGTTATATGCCAAAATGGGAACAGATCACTGTCTTTTACCATATACAAAAATCAACTGAAGCTGGATTAAAAGCTTAAATGTAATACCAAAAACTATAAAAACCCTAGAAGAAAACCTAGGAAATACCATGATGGACATCAGCCTTGGCAAAGAGTTTATGATTAAGTCCCCAAAAGCAATTGAAACAAAAACAAAAATGGGCAAGTGGGACCTATTTAAACTAAAGAGCTTCTGCACAGAAAAAGAAACTATCAACAGAGTAAACAGACAACATACAGAGTTGAAGAAAATATTTGCAGGCCGAGGTGGGCAGATCACCTTTGGTTGGGAGTTCCAGACCAGCCTGAGCAAAATGGAGAAACCCCATCTCCACTAAAAATATAAAATTAGCCAGGTGTGGTGGTGCATGCCTATAATCCCAGCTACTCAGGAGGCTGAGGGGAGTCGTTTGAACCCAGGAGGCGGAGGTTGCCCTGATCACTCCATTGCACTGAGCCGAGATTGCGCCATTGCACTCCAGCCTGAACAACAGGAGTGAAACTCCATCAAAAATGAAAGAAAGAAAGAGAGAGAGAGAGAGAGAGAAAGAAGAAAGAAAGAAAGAAAGAAAGAAAGAAAGAAAGAAAGAAAGAAAGAAAGAAAGAAAGAAAGAAAGAAAGAAAGAAAGGAGGGAGGGAGGGAGGGAGGGAGGGAGGGAGGGAGGGAGGGAGGGAAGGAAGGGAGAGAAGGGAAGGAGAGTGTGAGAGAAAGAGACAGAGGGAAGGAAGGAAGAGAGAGAAAGGAAGGAGAGTGTGAGAGAAAGAGACAGAGGGAAGGAAGGAAGGGAGGAAGGAAGGAAGGAAGGAAAGGAGGGAAGGAAATATTTGCAAACTATGAATGTGACAGAGGACTAATGTCCAGAATCTATAAGGAACTTCAACAAGCATAAAACAACCCCATTAAAGTATGGGCAAAGGACATAAATAGACACTTCTCAAAAGAATACATAAATGCAGCCTACAAATATATGAAAAAATGTTCAATGTCACTAGTCATTAGAGAAATGCAAATCAAAACCTCAATGAGATACATCAAATCTGTCAGAATGGCTATTACTAAAAAATGAATAACAGATGCTGACAAAGCTGTGGGGAAAAGGGAACACTTATACACTGTTGGTGAGAATGCAAATTAGTTTAGTCACTTTGAAAAATAGTGTGGAGATTTCTCAAAGAACTTAGAATGACCATTCCACCCAGAAATCCTACTACTGGCTATATACCACCCCCCAAAACAATTGCTCTACCATAAAGACACCTGTGTTTATTGTAGCACTATTCACAATAGCAAAGCCATGGAATCAAACTAGATGTCCATCAAAGGTGGACAGGATAAAGAAAATGTGATACATAAACACTATGGAATACTACACAGCCATAAAACGGATGAAATAATGTTTTTTTGCAACAACATGGATACAGCTGGAGGTCATTATCCTAAGCAAATTAATGCAGAAACAGCAAATCAAATACCACATGTTCTCACTTATAATCAGGAGGAAAGATTGGGTACACATGGACACAGAGCTGAGAACAATAGACACTGGTGACTACTTGAGTATTGAATATTGATATCCATTCAATTTTTTAATGTCATACTTATTTACCAATTGATGTTTTATCAAAGAACAGAATATAACACTGTGTTAGCTATAGCATGAGACATTTTCTTTGTTTAAATGTGGGTCCTTGGGATCATTCGTTTTCACATTTTCTTAAATTATTGTCCATTTTGACAAAATTTCCACTAAAAAGACCAATTCTGCTGGTGAAAAAAATACAGATCACAAAGGTTTCTGTCAAGATTTATAATGCAGTGTTAAAAATAATGAAATTTACAAAAAATGAATCTCATAATTACTTGATTGCAGATGAACAAAATCTAGATATGTCATATAGTATGCACCTGCAAGTGCCTTCATAATGTACATCATAAGTGAAGAATCATTGTTTTAGACTCTTCTTCTTCAGTATAAATGAGTGACATATACAATAGAATGGCTTATAATATCTTTGGATTCACAGGCTATTTCTTACTTTTGACCATTGGGGAAAGGCATTAATTTATACCTAATTGGGTAGCTGATTAATTTGGCTGACTCCCTATAGTAAAAGAAACTGATTGCATTTCACAGCAGGATGTTTTTAATCATGACATGATTATAATCTCCCTAAGGATACATTAACTTAATATATACATTGACTGCAGTCTATATGAAGGTAGTGAAAAGTAGGACAGTGAAATTTGTATCTACCAGATCTGAGTTTTAGAGTTTGCTCTGCAGTTTGTTACCTATAACATTTAACAGGTCTTATTAAATTTTCTTAGCTTTAGTTGTTTTGAAAAAAACTTTTTTGCACATTTATTGAGAGCATTATATATTACTTATAAAAATTTAGTTATTTTAGAATCTTAAGAAAACTGATCAAATATAGTTGAAAACATCTGCATATCATGTGTAGATCTAAATAAAAGGATACTAAAACAGTTTAAGCTATATAAAGGAATTACCTACTTTATTATTCCCATTTAATCCTATGTGGGATAAGAAGATAAGAAAGAAACAGAGAATCACTGTAGAGCAGAATAAAATGGTAATTGAAGTTCAAATTTTAGGCTAGGATGACCACATGTATTACTGAATGGGTAATGAACACTGATATCCAGTTTGTTGTAGGAAAAGTTTGCATTTTTTTCCTGTCTTTTTTCTTCAAGATTTAGCTCATTTCTTAGTACCAAGCTGTTCAGCATACAGTACATCTATCTAGGCAGTATATGCTGTACTTTATGTTGTTTAACACAAACAGCATCACCAAAAGGCTTGTTAAAATTGCAGAATCTGAAGCCCCACCCCAGTCCTGTTGAACCAGAATCTGCATGTTAGCAGGATCCCAGGTGATTCACGAGCACATTAGGATTTGAGAAAAACTGTATTCTCTGGAACTTCTACCAACAATGAGGAAGAAGAAGAAGAAAGAAACTGAACATGAACTGCCCAATAGTGTCAAGTGTCTGGAATCAATTCTGCAGAGACTTTAGGGTTTAATATTCTGCTAAGGACTCCCGAGTTAGCAAATCTCTCACCCACTGACATTAACATGTTTTTGCTATAAGATATTTTTTGGGGGAGGGGGAGGGATAGAAGCTGTCCCTTGAGAAGTCCGTGTTTAAATGTAACCACCAGCAGGTGAGACAACAATACATTCCACCAGTAGCCATTACCTTCTTCAGGCAAATTGATTGCTCAGTAGTGGAAATTGAACAACTGAGGCTTCATTTGAAATTGTAAGGTCTGGGACATCAGGGACTGTGACTGTACCTGGTACAGGATACATACACACACGAACCCATATACACAATCCGTTTTGAATTAGACTTTTTTCAGGAAAAGGTCCAAAGCATGAGATGCTTCTGTTTGGAAATAAAATAATTTTTTTTCATAAAATTGTGGTAACATTTAAATAACATAATGGTGGAAAAATGCTCAATGACAGTAATTTTTCTTATTTGACATTGAATTTATGATATGAATAGAGAGACATTATGGGTCCTTAAAAACTCAATTATATAAAACAATGTAAATCAGAATTCAATATCAATTCAGTGCAGGCACAAAAATGAGTCAATTTCCAAATTGCCATTGTGAAAGTTGAAAACTTCATTGCTTGGCGGTTTTCCAGTTTGGGATTTGTTCAATCTAGCTATCTAGTTACAAACCCAAAACCATGTCTACAGCTGGTATGCATTTTAAGACCAAACAGCTCTTATTTGTATTTGTGTTTGTGGAATAGAGAGATAAATAAAACAAAATTATTATCAAATAAATTATTACAAAATTTAAAAATAATTGAAATAAATAGATTAGACTTGGATTACTCCCGGAATAACAAAATGAAGTTCAAAAGTAAATCTAACTAATTTGCGTATGTTTTATTACAGAAATCTTTGGCTATTTTTTTGTTCTAGGCCAGCTAAATGTTAATTTAAAATTGCATGGTATTTATTTTTCATGAGTCATGTAGTTTACTTCCACAGCTGAACTCTAACAATGTGATGAGGATAAATATAACCCAAATAGAAAGTCCTATTGTTGGCCATGATGCCTGAATTAGCATGTCCAATCCACCAAAAAAAAACTATTTGCTAAATATTAAGAAAAAGACACAATGATTGAGCATTATTTGGCTTGTTTTTTAACACAAATACAAACTATTGACTTACGGTATGATTAGAGTTCATTTTTATACAGATCAATGTCTTAAGAAAAAACAAAATATCCTTGAGTTGACTGGGAATAACCAATGACTATAAATCAAACAGAACATTTCTTTATAATTTGGTTACCAACTGATAAATATCTTATTGAGGTTTGATAGGTCTTCCTCATTCCCTTCCAAATAACACTTAGCTTTCATGTGTGGACTTTCTGAGAAAAAATTCAAGCCAAGGCAATCACATCTGAACACTGGAATCTACAACCTATGCATAATACTACAAAACACCAAATTGTTTGTGGCTTTTAGTTGAACAGGTCAGCGAAATGTCAACCATATTACATCTTCCTCCTCTTAATCCCCAGTATATGAGGAAACATTTATTGCATACTTACAATGTTGTAGGTATCATCAATTTCTCTTTATAAATACACTATAAAGGGAGGACTATTTTGTATCTTCTATTTAAAAATAAGGTCAAGTGACTTTTCCAATGTCATATAGGGGAGAGATGAACACAAGTTCTCTTTAGGCAGCATGAACCAGCTCCAGTACAGTACTGAAAGAGCCAACGGTTGCAAATGTGAGGGGTATTTCAAAAGCAGACAGCTAGCGAAGACATTGTCTTCATCAACATTTCCATTAGAGACCACTTCTGGGATCTTGGAAAAACTCAAAAAAGGGCCAGTTAGTGTGCATCCACCATTATAATATATCACTCAAACTAGACTACAGCTGTGGTACTGTATTAGTCTATTCTCACACAGCTATAAAGACATACACAAGGCTGGGTAATTTATGAAGAAAAGAGGTTTAATTGGCTCACAGTTCTGCAGGCTGAACAGGGAGCATGGCTGGGGAGGCCTCAGGAAACACAGAATCATGGCAGAATGTAAAGGGGAAGCAAGCAGGTCTTCACATCGTGGCAAGTGAGAGAGAGCAAATGGGGAAGTTCTACACCCTTTTAAACAACCAGATCTCGTGAGAATTATTACAAGAACTGCATGGGGGGAAATCCACCCTCATGATCCGATTACTTCCTGCCGGATCCCTCCATCATACTGAAGATCATAATTTAACATGAGAGTTCGGTAGGGACACAGAACCAAACCACATCAGGTAGTGAAGTCACATTCTTTTTTCCCTCCTTTCTGTTTCAACTTGAACCTTGATGGGCCACAAACTGCAACTGAAAAGTGGGTGAGAGACTATCATACCAGAAAGTGAGGACTGACTATTCTCCCTTCTGCCCTATTGATTTCCTACCATGAAGAAGAGACGAACTATGTGTGTTGGGGAAGGAGGGTAGTTATATTAGATAGAGATTCAAGTTTCATTTTATATTGGGGGTGGACTTTTTAATTACCGAATGAGTAAGACATGACAAGAAAAGCTATGAGGACTGACTGGGATTCCATCTAGGAAAGTATTAAAAATAAGGTTTGTTTTTAATTGCACTTGCCAAGTCTGTTACATCTCCACTGAATCTTCTGTACCTGATCAATGCCACATGAGATTACATTAAGAGTTCTGTATTGTTTCTGTTCCCATTTGTAGAAAATGTGATTGTTTTTAATAATGGAGAATTACAGATGGAAAAATCAAATGAGCACCATGATTTATGTCAATATATCAAAATAAAAAGAGTTTGTTTGTGAGCAAGTGGGGATGTCAGTATAAATGGGTGTAATCACATTTGCTCCCAAATTGCCCTGTAAAGCTTCTATCCTTCTTGCATATCTCAATCACAGTTTTCATGAGGAATTACAGATACCTGTTTAGCATTAGTATTTGCTAGAAAAATTGCAAAGATTCTATTGGATGCCACTACATTTGATAAACATAGAAAAATATTTAATTGGATGACAAGGGTGTCTTGGGTGCTCTTGTGTATTTAGACATAAAAACACAAACATAGGAAATTCCACACCAGAGCCAGTATGTCTGCAATAACTCTGTCTTCAATTGTAAAATCCCAAGTTTTTGTCCCAGTTCTGCTACCCAGCTGCCACACGATTAGGCAGCTCTCATAACCACGTAACTTTTTACTTTGGAGAATTTCAGTGTGTACACTGGTACCCTAAAAGCCTTCTTCTACAAATGTTGCTATAAAGTATTTTTTATCAGACCAAAGGTTGTCACTAGAACCAATATCAAATGGTTTTGAGTGTCATTCTCCAACTAGATATCTGCCTAGCTTCAAACACAATCAGAATACTTGTATTCCTGGGTTTCGGACGGTTGACTTGCATCATAAGACACTGACATATAATTTGAAAGAGAATAAGCATAAATATAGTAATTTCTGAGTCTTATAAAGGTAACAATAATTTTGAAAGAATTAAAGGTAATGAGTTATTTGTGTCTCTCCAATAGCACCAAACCAGTTTAATTTTTTTCTGTCACTGAAGTGATCATTTTGAAAATTGATTATCAGCATTGACTGGTTGTTTTTATGTTATAAAAGAACAATCTATGTTACTCTAAGGGGTACTGTTTCCTATTAAGGGTCATTGATCCACAGAAAATAAATCAACTGAGAGCTTCACAACTATAAAATACAGCTTTATTTAGTTTGGTTTCTTTTAAAAAAAGAATGTAATAGATGATAGTTAAAAGAAATGAAAAAAATACAAGAGACAAAAAAAGAAAATAGTTAAAATATACGACAAACAATACTACGGAAAAGCTAGATGAGAGAATCGTGTTGATACATTAGCAGTTATGGGAAAAAGAGAATTGAAGATATCAAAAAAGAAATTCAAATTTCAAGGGTGTGTGTGTGTGTGTCTGTGCGCACGCTCACGTATATATAGGAGAATATAGAAAAGGAGAAATAGATTTCTGTACAGTAGCATTATTTTATAGAATAAAAGTTCCCATGGCAGTTCCTATTTAAAGGCATGTTTTATTTTCATTCTTTTAGAAATAAATACAAAGACTGTCTTTTTACCCATGTGTTGTAGATGTCATGAAACTAAGTCCCAAACTAACATCTTGCTAACCACCCACACTTCATAAGCAAACCAAACCTCAGTTCACTCAATCTGAGTTCTCTTGCTTTTCAAAGCAGTTCCAGGAACAAAAGAGAGGCAAACAATACCATTTCCAAGCAGGAACACTTACACAAATATTTTATTTGAAACCACTGACTTGTCCTAATTACCATATTTCCAGTATACATGATCACTAAATAGAGACATTCTCTATGCACAGATATCTGAAGTTCCAAGTCTATAAGTCAACATAAATTTAGAAAGAATTAAATTAAATTCTTACATTCTAATTAAATTAAATTAATTTAAAAAGAATAAAGAAGTTACAGTTTGGATTTAGGAGCATGAATTTTAAAATCCAATGTCTCTACTCACTAATGGTTTAACTTTAAGTAGATTTCTTAAGTATTCTGACTTGTTTATAAAGTGGAGGTAATAATGTAATTTCAAGTTCATCATTGTAAGGATTAGAGCTAATATATGTATAATACCTACAACATAAAGTTGCTATATGAGAGCAGTAGTAACAATTATCATAATTATACTTTGCTTGTGATATAATACAGATTATTTTTCATTTTCTATCTGATTTTGAAAATTATTAATATGTGCTTTATTGTTTCTGTTTTATATGTAAATGTGAGTGCATACATATACATAAAATATTCTAGAAAATATAGACATTTAACTAGAATATTTAATATTTTCACTGACTCCTAATAAATGACATATTTAAAATATTATAATTCTTCTTTCATTGTTTCCTAAGCATTATGTAAAATTAAATTCTGGGTGTCAGATTATACTTCATGAATTTATTATCATTGTTTGATTAAAAGTACACTCAAAATCTCTAGCAAGACAAAGCCTATATATATATTTTCATTTCATTTATTTTAACATTTTCTTACTCATTTATCCTATCTCTTCTTACATTTTCAATCTATATATTAATTAAATATTCCTTTTTTAAAGTTATGTAAGTATATGTAGGTTACTTTGTTTATATAGACCAAAAGTATTTTATTCTATCATTTTTATTTCTTGCTTTTAGAAAATTTTTCATGTAAAATATGAACATTTAAATATTTTACCAGGTTTATTATTGTTGCTTTTCTTTTTTTGTATTTTTTTATTATACTTTAAGTTCTAGGGTACATGTGCACAACATGCAGGTTTGGTACATATGTATACATGTGCCATGTTGGTGTGCTGCTCCCATTAACTCGTCATTTACGTTAGGTATATTGTTTTTCTTTAACTTATGTTATCAGAAAAAACTTGCTTGCAACTAAATGTTATCTATCTACATTGTTTTTCAGGGTTACTTTCCTCTTATTACAAGAAAAGGAATATCAGTCTATTAAAACATGATTTAGAGATAACATTGTCATTGTTGTGTTTGCACAACAGTGCTAGGATTCCGATCCAATCATATATGTCTAAAAACTCAGTAGGAATATTCAGGCAAACTTGTATATGCATTCAACATTACAAACAGTCAAGTCTTTGGTCTTGGTACCAACAGTAATTGGACAGGAGGGCAGAGAGAAACAATGGCTTACAAAATTTAAAATATCATTTTAATCTGATTCTATAATCCATTCAGTGATATTTAGTATTTAGTATTAAGTGGATATGCCTTACTGAAATTTTCGCTTAAGTTAATATTAAAATATGCTTATTCTATCCAAAGACATACTTACAGACAGCAGAAATAACAATTTTCCTTATGTAATTTGAAATCTACTGTGTTTATGTATGTCTAATGCCATACACACAGAAATATCCACAGAGAAAGTGCCTGTTTTCCATTTATCTTAAGTATTTGGGGAATTTTGGCACACTTATTTTGCAAGAACAGAGATTCACAAATTTTGTTACAATATTATTGTGAAACCATTGTAATATCCATTTCCTTAGCCCTAGCACCAAATATTGATTTAATCTGTTTGTTTGAATAAAACAAACTATAGATCTTTCCAAGTAGATGTTGTTGTTTCTTGTTCTGAAAAAGAAAGCAAATTTGCTCTATTTCAGAAACAATTCAATATTTATATATTAGAAAAACAAAGACACAAATATTTCTTAGTGGTACCTGCTATTCAATAAAAAGTGAATTCAGATACTAGGTATAATACACTTTTTCCACTGTATAGAAGAACCTGCCAACAGCTCTAGAAATATCAAAATTCTTGTTCTCAATTTGAGGTATTGAATTCATAGTTGTTGTTGTTTTTCAATAATTGAAATAACACTTATAGTGTTAATTATTTCCTGTTAAACATCAGGAACACTGTTACTTATAAATATATTTTTGCTTATATTTTTGCTTAAACAACAGAAATGTAAATTCTCACAGTTCTGGAGGCTGGAAGTCCAAGATCAAGGTCCAGCAGGGTTTGGTTACTGCTCAGGGCTCTCTTCTTGGCTTGCAGATGGCTGTCTTCTTACTGTGTCCTTACATGGAGAGGACACACAGAGATGCACATAGAGGGAAGGAGACAGTGAGCTCCCTGGTGTCTCTTTTTATAAGGACACTAATAGTACTAGATTAGAACCTCACTCTTATGACCTCATTTAACCTAATTACCTTCTAAAGGCCCTATCTTCAAATACGGTCAAATTGGAGATTAATGCTTCCACATTTTGATTTTTTTGGGGAACACATTCAGTTAATAATATATACCAATGTAATAGAAAACCACTTAGTTAGATCAAGATAAAACCCTTCTGAGTCAGACAGACTGGATTCAAATCCTGATTCTATAGCCTGTCTATTACTATGGCAAAGGTGGCATCACTAGCACCTATGTAATTACTTGCACCATAAATATGTTATAGCTATTCAATAAAATCTACTTAAAAGGAACCCCACCTAATATCTAGAATATGGCAATACTCAATAGCTAATGATAATAATGATAATTTCATTAACATCATCATTAAAAGACAAGCCGATAGACTCTCTCATGCATTTACGTAGAAATTCAAGAATTGTCACAGATCTTTAGAGTGTTATTTCATCAGCCAGAAACTTCTGTGGCTGGTGGTGACTCTGCTTGGGTTTTGCTTGTGCCTGCTGGGCTTGTTCTGCCCACTCAGTCTAGCAGGCTGCACTCAGCTCACATTACCAGCCTGGATCCCATGCCTGCCAAGAGCCAGCCAGGCGTGGAGCAGTGAGGGCTTCAGCCACTGCTCACAGCCAGGCATCCTGCCTGTGGTGGGACAGGCAGCTCTAGGCACCCACACAGGTGCCCGCTCCATGTGAGGCTGCAGCTGGGCCAGATATACGACAAGAGGCTTCTGCAGCGGGCACCAGCATCTAGACAAAGGAAACGTGGTGGCATCCGAAAGCTCTGAGATACCAGGAACTGCAGAGCCCCCAAAGAGAATGCTACAGCCTGTTACAGCCCTGGCTCAGTGATCCCCAAGGTCTGGTCTTCCAGAAGGCCCACAGCTCTTCTCTCTTTCTTGTCCCCTGCAATGAGGCAAGTAGGGGGCGTGTTTCAGCCCTGTTTGTGTTACAGTTCTTTTAGTCTCTCCATTCAGTGGGTCCCAAGTTCTTGTATGGTGTCCAGGAAGAATGAGGTAGGCAGACAATCGGAAGGTGACCAAGGCAGAGAGGCTCTTCACTGAGAGCCATAACAGCTCCCAGGAGACCCAAAATGGGTGTCTTCTTTCTGCAGGCAGGTCATCCCAATGAGTGTCCAGCTCGCAGCAGAGAGGACAATAGTGGAGGGTAGCTCCTTTCTGCAAGCAAGTCATCCTGAAGTCAAGGACACCCAAAGTGGGTAGCTCCTTCCAGCAGCTGGTAGCTCGGATAGCTGTCTGAGTCTGGCTGACAGACAGGAGGAAGTGCATGCTGATTTGTCCATGGGCAGCCTTGAGTGGGCCCAGAAAAAGCACCATAAGTTCTCACTCCAGGTTGTGGACCCCACCTGGAAACGGCAGCCTGGCTGCCAGGTTTCAGGCTGTCCCTGGCTTGACGGTGGGCTTTCAATGGGGACCTGCCGCTTCCCACTCAATAACCTGTCTGCCTCTCACAATCAACATGCCCTCCACAGCGCCCAGGATTTTCATGCTGAGGGTCACTTGAAAGCCTGCACCAAGCACCCTCAGACCTCCTGGCCTCCCTCCCATGCTCATAGGTGCCCAAAGTCCGGAGGGGGCTGGCATGTCAGCACCAACCCTAGCGTGCATACAACTGCTGGGCTTGCAGCAGCACCTGGGCTCAGCCACGACTTTGATCCACACTGGAGTGAGCACCCGGAGCAAGGAGAGGCCAGGAGCAGGCACGTCCAAGCCTGCAGGGGCTAGGGGCTTCCCAGCTGGAGAGTACAGGGATGCCTGGGTCCAGAGCCAAGCTGGGCTGCTGCAGCTGCACGCAAGAGCTCGGGCTCCTGCTCCGCCAACTCCATAGGGGCGGCTGTCACGTGTTTCTGGCTTTCACTGGCCTCAGTGAGGGCACAACCCTCATCGCACCTCCCCCGCTGCAGCCGACTTCTTTGCAGCGCCGGCTACAGACAGGCCGCCGCTTCTATCATGATGACCTTATATAGTAAGCAAGAACAAATGAAGAATATAGAAATGGGAAACTAAAATACATTGAGAGATGCAAATGTGTTCAGTGTTGTACTTCATATTTTAAGTATTACCTTTATAGCAAGTATAAGTGCTCACCTGTAAAAACCAAGCTGTTATATTCATTTAATACTTCAAGCCAAATTACTCAGCTTCAAGCCTCCACTCATTGTGTTGGTAGGAAATAAAATCCTAATAATATATATGCACCCCACCTGATTCGTATGCACATATAAGATCTCAGGCTCACATGGTGTAGCACCTGCCTCTGGTGCCCATGTCACTTGGTACAGCTCATCTCTGCTTTTATCCACAGTTGTGTTGGACAGTTACATGCAAAATCAAACTTATATCATCCTGAGAGTATCCCATAAAAAGCAAATGCTATGTCTCTATCTAATTCCTAACCAGAGGACTTTATCCGAAGTCATAGGAGTCCCATTTTGTGCGCACAACCCAGAAGTATAGAGTTAATCCTCAACCAGTGGAGGATGAGAGCCAGAACTGTCCTGGGAAATGTTCTGTACCCATCGAAAATACGTAGCAAAATTTAGCACTTTTACCCAGTTGGCAAAGTGATAACTTTGATAATCCACCTTTATATTATTAGCTTTTCTGACATGCCTCTTTTATGTAACCTTTGGATTATACTTAGTATTCTTTATTATGGCCTTGAACTTCCTCTCATTTCTCCATGAGTTTTTAGTGGCTTAACTAATATCCTGAATACCCCCATTTCCATATTATTTTTGAAAAGTGTTCATTCTTTAAGATATGATGTAATTGTCTCCTTCTCTCCTACTCTGGGAAGACTTCCCAAGTTCCCTTAATCATTGATTGCTTTCTTAGTTTTACCTTAGAATTTTGTTTACACCACTAGAATAACACTTATTACGTTGTATTATACTGAGCTTTTTAAATGTTGATCTTTCCTAACAGACTATGATTCCTATATGGAATCTCACCTTTCTCATTTCTATATCTTTGGTGTTTAGAATAGTCTCTGGCACATAGTAAGTGTTTCAAAAATGAGTGCGTTAAATGAATTTCTTTTTTTACAAAAAAACTTAACTTTAATTGGGATACAAGTCAAAACTCTTACAAGATCAATTTTTTGACCCAACCCTTTCATTCCCAGCATTTCTTTTAAAAAATGCTAAAAATGAAAGAAAGGACACAGTTTAGCTAGAGAACTTTCCTTAAATAAGATATCAAAAAGAGGAAGCAACAAATCACAGACAGATATTTCAACATTCATACACACAGAGTCAATTTTTGTTATTCAAGTTTATTATGTTCTATAAGGCTGCCACCAACATCGAACTGGCAAATATTGACCCATTGTTCCTAGGAGAAATACAGGGATAGATATCTGTGAGCCTTTGGTCATAGGATTTTCAAAAACTGATCTATACATAACCTTGATTTATGTGCGTTTCTATTTAAAGACATTGCATTTAATATATATTGTTAATTCATTAACTTTGTAGTCACAGAGAACAGCACTATAAATCATGCCTGAATGAAGTTTGCCTAACACAAAAATATTCTCCATAAGGCACATCACAGTTTCTTGCACTTAGAAACACTAGAAAACACTTTAACACGCTATACTTGGGAAGCATTTTAAACAGTAAAATCACCAAAAAGGACAAAAATGCAAAAAAGTGGCACTAAATAAATGCAAAAAGGACACTTGTTTACAGGAAAGTTCTGTTCGACCTCAGCTGGGAATGTATTCATAGAGAATCTCAAATCTTGTGCAGATATGCACAGGCACATATCTGCAAATGGCCTAGAAAGCATCACAAGTGTTGATTTTGGAATTACAAATACATTTTAGCTAGTAAAAAAGAAAATTGCAAATGCAGAATTCACAAATAATGAAGACTGACTGTATATGTTTATATGTTGATGTGTTCTAATTTACATACATAATACATACATTTCTCTGAAATCTACAAAGACTTAGGTACCTTCTAAATGTAAATGATCCAGAGCTATTGAAGACAAGAAAAAAGCTACTGTCTTTATATTATAGAATAATAGAAAATAGTTTCCTTTGCTGTTTGGGAAAAGAAGTATTACACTATATAGGGAAATTGTTTTGCAACTGCCATGTGGTATATAGCCAGCTAATCAGAGACACATTAAGAACCCTACACAAGGTTTTACAGTGATTCACAGTAAAATATCACTGCCTTTTATTAAAAAAGAAGGAATAGCATTTAGTTGCTATATTGGTCTCTTTTTTTATCAGAAGATGATTTTTAGATACATGAACCTGTTTTATTTAAGCTTAATTCAGCCACTATTTAAAATCAAAGTTTGTGTAATAAGAGCCTACTGTCTTGCTAAGACATCTTCAAAGACTTTTTACATCAGTGTATCTCCTTCTCCCTTTTCACCCCTACTATTGAATGCATTCCTTTGACAATCTACTGTCTACTGAGATTAAAGTCACTAGACTAGTTACTTAGAAGAACAAAGGATGAATAGAAATAGTAACTTCATGTAGAGATTCTTTGCAGACTCACTAATTCCATTTCTTCTGTTATTTTCTCATGTAGGAAATATATTCAGATTGTTAAATGGAAAGGTCCTGATTTTTTTAACCTTAATATGGAAATGAATTTCTGACTTGGGGAAATGCTGTTAACTTTTTAATTTATTTGGCCTTTTCCATATAAATTCCCATGAATCCTTCATATTTCTGTTTAGTCTCTTGTGGAAATATATTATTTATATTGAACAATGAGTTGACACTCTACTGCAACTCTTCCTCCAAATCACTTAATTTTAAAAAATAAGGTAGAAGGAAAAGACGTATTTACTTGAAATATCAGCTTTTTAAGCTAAGCGTTTTCTTTTCTCCTGCATTTTTTTTTCTTTGCTACATTTCTTAAAGCAAAATGAGAAAAAATAAAATAAAACACCACAGGGAAGGTTTATTACATTATCTGGCATACAATTTGCTTTTTGAACCAGTCATGAAAACTTAAATCAAAATTATAAAAATCAAAATGTCTAATCCTGTCTCTGAAGAGACCCCAGGAACCATTTAGAGTAACAGACCTGAAGAAAAGAAAGAATTGCTGAATACTCCATTATGAATTAGAGCATTCCATTGTCCTATAGAGCAAATGAATCCACAGAGTAAAATGTTCTCTTAGTATTCATATCAACATTTCACTAGGGAAAAGTTGGACTGGAAAATTCTAATCAACTATAAATTAAAGGTGGATGCATGATGAGGTGAATAATTTAAGGTTATAGAATGTCAAGACTCTACCCATTATTTTCCTTTCTCAAATATGCCTGCAAAGAACTGACCTATTCTCCACAAAAATAGAATAATTGCTGAAATTCATCCATATGTTTGTGTGGTATAATAAAAATACCACCTTGCTAAGAGTCAGTGTTTTTCACTATTGAATTTTGTGCTTAGAACGTACTAGCCGTTTGACTTTGATCAAGTCACTTTACTTCTCTGTTTTCAGGCTACTTAACTGCATTATTGCATACAAGAATCCTCCTCTATTTTACCAAATAGAATTTTAATAGTAAATGAAGATGGCTCCATAAAGTATAATCTTCTCTACAGGTATAGCTCTCTGAAAGCTCTAATTAACATGGTTTGAATGATTCACACCTGAGAAACAAGGTAAGTGGGTAACCCAATACTAAATTGAAACTGTGAACGCATCTTCAAAATACAAAAAAGTTAATTCCAAGGAAAAAGCACCATATGTAAAATTTACAAAGAGAAATAATGAAATTTGGTTCCATGACTCTTGGGCCTTCAGACAAAATAAGGCTATAAAGATGGATTGGGTCAGAATATCCAGTCCATTTGGGAGAGAGCAACTGGTAGGTATAAGTCCTCATCTGTCTCCCTTTCGCATCCCAATGTGTGGAGGAATGCAGAAGGCTGATCCTTTTGCTTCCATCTTAGTAATGGAAACTTTTATATAGTTTATTTTTCCTGTGGCCTAGAATAACAGAGTACTGGTACCAGACCTATTCTGACAAACCAAGCTAAGCTAAAAAAAAAAAAAAAAAAAAAGACTTACAATGTTATAAACTCGCACTTCCAGAATTTGTATGGGGCAAAGAATGGATCAGTGTATAGCCATACGAAAAAAACTGTCAGCGTATAGATATTATTCTCTGTAAAATGACTGCCTAGAGAAGTAAGAAAACCCCATATCAAAAAGGTGAAAATGAGTGGATTTCTTGGGGCTAAAAGAAAGCAATTGATCTTCTGGAATAGAGGTTATTCTGCCCAGGAAAGAGGACACAATAGTCAGACCCAGTGAAAGAGAGGTATATTTAAATATTAGCCGTTCTCAGGGATGAAATAATACAGAAAAATCTTTTGTATACTCTTCTCTCCTTAGCTATAAATCTTACCTAGTAGACTTCAGAATTGGCTAGTAAGCCACAAAGGAGGTGAAGAGGAGAAATGGGAAAAAGGGGAAGAAGGAAGACTCGAACTGTGTTATTTTCTTTGCACTATGAGTTTCCATTTGCTATCAAATTTAAACTGTGAGAAGAACGATTTTACTGTCAAATCAACTTCAAATTTATGATTCATATGTTTTACTGCACATTTTAGATATTGAATGGAGACTGTATGTGTGACAAAATGACTATTAAACTGCCATTTTCTCAAAGTAAATAGACTTTTTTGTTTCTTTGTTTGTTTTTTTGTTTTTGAGATGGAGTCTCGCTCTGTTGCCCAGGCTGGAGTGCAGTGACGCGATCTCGGCTCACTGCAAGCTCTGCCTCCCAGGTTCAAGCGAATCTCCTGCCTCAGCCTCCCGAGTAGTTGGGGACTACAGGCATGTGGTGGTGCGTGCCACCACGCCAGGCTAATTTTTTGTATTTTGTTGTAGAGACAGGTTTCACCGTATTAGCCAGGATGGTCTCAATTTCCTGACCCCGTGATCCCCTGCCTCGGCTTTCCCAATGTGCTGGGATTACAGGCATGAGCCACTGCACCCAGCCAGTGCGTAAGCATTTTTAAGTTCTAGTCTGATGTCAGGGAAAACACCTCTTCCCACTGAGTGAAGTTTAACATGAACAGTGGAAGACTGAAGAGTGAAGCTGCATTTTCTGCAAGTTATGAGTAATGCTTATGCAACATTTGTGTTGTGATAAACAGAAAGCAACAAAAGTAAGTCCATTATATATTCCTGCTCTCAACTGGTGTTAAATAGGATTCAATCAGGAAGCACCACAGTAATTCTATAGTCCCTTTTCTCCTTTTACTGTCACTTTTATCTTTTGCCATTTTCCTCACAAAATATATTCTCTGGAACATCTTAGTCACTAATCACTCAGCCTTCAAACATCATTTTTGGTTGCCAAACTTGAACCCTTCAAAAATCATCTCTCTGCCTTCAGCACACAGTGTATCATTTGCCTTCTTATATCATTTTTCTTTAATTTCTTTATTGTATAATATGACTAAGTTCTTTCACAAATTCTTTTTTAAGTAATGTTAAATAGAGATAGGAGGAGATTTGTGGGGTGGAATCAATAATTTCTCTTAAGTCTTAGCTAGAACAATTAGAAAAGAGAAAGAAATAAAGGGCATCCAAATTGGAAAGGAAGAAGTCAAATTATCCTTGCTTGAAAATGATATTTTATATTGGGAAAAACCTAAAGACCACCAAAAAAAATGTTAAAACTAATAAAACTTCAGTAAATGTGAAGGATACAGAATCAATACACAAAAATCAGTAGCATTTCTATGTGCCAGCAGTGAACAATCTGAAAATAATCAGAAAAGTAATCCCATTTACAATAACCACAAATAAAATTAAGTACTGAGAAATTAATTTAAGCAAAGTAATGAAAACTACAAAAAAACTATAAAAAGTAATAAAGACTATAAAACACTGATCGAAGTAATTGAAAAGAACCACCAAATAATAAAAAGATATTCAATGTTAATGGATTGTAAGAATCAATAATGTTAAGATGTTCATCCTATCCAAGCAATCAACAGTTTCAATACAATCCCTATGAAAATATCAATGACATCCTTCACAAAAACAGAAAAAAAGTCCTAAAATTTATACGGAACTGTAAAAGACCCAGGATAACCAAAGCTATGCTCACCAAGAACAAAACTGTAAGGATCACATTACCTGACTTCAAATTATACTTCAGAGCTCTAGTAACCAAAACAGCATGACACTTGCATAAAAACAGAGACATAGACCAATAGAACAGAATAGAGAACCAAGAGAAAAATCCATACATCTACATTGAGCTCATTTTCAACAAAGGTGCCAAGAACATATGTTGAGGAAAGGACAGTCTCTTCAATAAATTGTCTGGGAAAACTGGAATGTAAAACCTCAACATATGAAACTACTGCAAGAAAACATCAAGGAAGCTCTCCCTAGGACATAGGTCTGGGCAAAAATTTCTTCAGTAATACCACACAAGCACGGGCAACCAAAGCCCAAAGGGCAGGTGGGATCACATCAAGTTAAAAAGCTTCTGCACAGTGAAGGAAACAATCAACAAAGTGAAGCGACAACCCACAGAATGGGAGAAAACATTTGTAAACTACCCATTTGACAAGAGATTAATAACCAGAATATATACTGAGTGCAAACAAATCTATAGAAAAAAACCTAATAATACATTTTAAAAATAGACAAAATATTTGAATAGATATTTCTCCAAAAAGACATACAAATGACAGACAGGCATTTGAAAAGGTTCTCTGCATCATTGATCATTAGAGAAATGCAAGTCAAAACTACAATGTAATATTATTGTACTCCAGTTAAAATGGCATATAACCAGAAGACAAGTAAAATCAAAAGCTGGTGAGAATGTGGAGAAAAGGGAGCCCTCGTACACTGTTGTGGAAATGCAAATTAGTGCAACCAACATAGAGAACAATTTGGAAGCTCTTTAAAAACTAAAAATGAGATACTATATGATCCAGCAATCCCACTGCTGGATATATACTCCCTAAAAAGAAAATCAATATATTGAAGAGATAGCTGCACTCCCATATTTGTTGCAGCATTATTCACAAAGTTTGGAAGCAACCTAAGTGTCCATTGACAAATCAGCAGATAAATAAAATATGGTATGTGTGTGTGTATGTATATATATATATATAAAGTATATATATATACAAAATGGAGTACAGCCATACAAAATAATGTAATTTGCAACAATATGGAAGAAACTGGAGGTCCTTATGCTAAGTAAAATAAGCCAGGGACAGAAAGACCAAACATCACATTCTCATTTTGGGGTTCTAAAAATCAAAACAACTGAACTAATGGAGACAGAGAATAAAAGGATGGTTACCAGAGGCTGAGAAGGGTGGGGGGGTGTAAGGAGGATGTGGGGCTGGAAAATGGGTACAAAAAAGAGTCAGAAAGAATGAATAAGACCTAGTATTTGATAGCACAACAGAGTGACTATAGTCAATAATAATTTAATTCTACATTTTTGTTGCAGGTATTTTCCTTAGTTCAGCTAAAGAAGGGCCCTTGTCACCACAAAAGATTAGGCTTGCAGAGAATTTGAAGGGTGAGAATAATGGGATTTATTGGGCAAAAAGGAAGAAAAAGGGTTGAAACAGGGACTCAGCAGAGTGAGAGTCCTTCTAGTCTAGGCTTTCTGCCTCACAGATTGAATTCCAGGCTCCATACAGGAAAAGGAGGGCCTAGGCTCCTTTCCACTATAAACAGCACTGACTTTAGTGGCTCCACCCCAGTGTGCACTCCCCCAGTGTGCAGGCTGGTTGGAGTTTCTCTGGGAACCCCTTCCCACCTGGCTGTCTCATTCTGAAATAACTAAAAGAATATAATCAGATTGTTTATAACAAAAAAGACAGATGCTTGAGGAGACGGATGCTTAGTCCATTTCACATGATGTGATTATTACACATTGCATGCCTATATCAAAACATCTCATGAACCTCATAAATACATACACCTACTATGTACCCACAAAAATAATGTTTCTTAGTATATTCAATAACAAATTGTATCCTATCACATGGTTCCACATTATTCTTCATCATGCTCTACACACACATACAAAAACACACACACATCCCTCCAATCACCAATATCAAAATAAAATCCAATAATCATCTTATCCTTCTCTCCTCTTTTTATCTTTTTCTTCAAATTTCTTTCTTTTTCTGCCTTTACCTCTTCCTTCCTGCAGATGCTTTCATTTGGAAACCAGCTGATTCCATTATAATCTCCCTTAACAAACCATAGAAGAATAAATATTTTTTAGGAAAAGAATTAATCTGAGAATTAAATATCTTCCAATAGTTTTGCTATGGAGAGGAAATGAGGAATAAAGAGACTATATTTTAAAAATCTTTTTCCATAGTCAAAGTAAGTTTGGTACTAGTATTTAAAATTTCTTTTTTTTTACATTTTTTAAAAATTTAATTTAATTTAATTTAATTAATTTATTTTTTATTATACTTGAAGTTCTGGGGTACATGTGCAGAACGTGCAGGTTTGTTACATAGTTATACACATGCCATGGTGGTTTGCTGCACCCATCAACCCATCACCTACATTAGGTATTTCTCCTAATGTTATCCTTCCCCTAGCCCCCCACCCCTCTACAGGCCCCAGTGTGTGATGTTCCCCTCCCTGTGTCCATGTGTTCTCATTGTTCAACTCCTACTTATGAGTGAGAACATGTGGTGTTTGGTTTTCTGTTCTTGTGAGAGTTTGCTGAGAATGATGGTTTCCAGCTTCAACCATGTACCTGCAAAGGACAAGAATTCATCCTTTTTATGGCTGCATAGTATTCCATGGTATATATGTGCCACATTTTCTTTATCTAGTCTATCATTGATGGACATTTGGGTTGATTCCAAGTCTTTGCTATTGTGAATAGTGCCACAATATACATACCTGTGCATTTGTCTTTATAGTAGAATGATTTATAATCCTTTGGGTATATACCTAGTAATGGGATTGCTAGGTCAAATGGCATTTCTGGTTCTAGATCCTTGAGGAATTGCCACACTGTATTCCACAATGGTTGAACTAATTTTCACTCCCACCAACAGTGTAAAAGCGTTCCTATTTCTCCACATCCTCTCTGGCATCTGTTATTTCCTGACTTTTAAAGTATCAAGATTTAACCTATCTATAGGTCATAAAAGAATCAGAAAATAAGTCACTGAATAACAACAGAGGATATTATGACCCAATCTTCTGATAATAAATAAATTAGGAGCACAGCTTCCAGCTTGAAGTATAAAAGTTGCCTCTTTAAGGATCTTATGACTGAACAATTGGGTTTAGGAAATCTGTATATTGGCTTTTGTTTTCATTATTTTTCCATCTTGAGGAAGTTGGCATATCCAACATATGGGACCATGTTTGTAAAACTTCCAACTTAAGTCCCACAGGTATCTACGATTTGCATTATATTATTTGGTCCTGATTCTTTGTTGACCAACAAAGCTATCTACCATTTCCTCCTACCCATGTTTAAATTTACCAACTGTTATAATTCAGATGTCCTTCAGAACAAAAAATATTGTGTATTATATTATTTATTATTTCTAACTGTACATCATCCTTATGTAATTTTATCTGAAATGCTTAATTCTGTGGCTTGCTAGCAGATAGCCCACAAGAATAATTCTTCCATTTGGAGAACAAAAAAAGACAACTTTTCCCTGGGTCGCTGGCTTGCTGTATTGAATTCAGAACATGAATTCCAGTTACTGTCCATTCTATTAGGCGCTTATTCTAGTCATATGCATAACTGTCACCCTTTATGGATTTGTGTCAAAAATGACCCTTATGACAGTCATCATAAATTCTCACAAGCTGGCATTGTCTTTTGTCTCTGAGCCTATCTCTCCATGTGTGACTTCTGAGACATATTCCAACCATAATTCAAAGTCACTTTATTTGAATCCTAGCTCATTAATTATCTCTGCCTTCTCAAATTTTTTATTGCTGATTTCCATGCCAGCAGCTCCAAAGCTTTTTAAATCATATGTCTCCTAACATTGTTCTTTATAACCCAAATGAATGTCTTTGCAATAATGGAATCTAGCATTAGCTTTGAATTAGCTTAAATAAATTTGGCCTCACACTTGTATAATTATATAAATGAAGTTTAATTTATTAATACATAGTAAACAGGAAGTAAAAAATATTTTCTACTTTACCTCTTCCCAGTGAATTTTCCCCCATATCCAGTTAACTTTTGCATCACTAAATAAATTTAGTTAGCTATCTGCCTGGAACATTCAGTTTCAAATAGCACATATTTCTTAATTTGCAAATTTGAATGTCATTCTTTCCAAAATACTGTTAATATATCAAAGAATTATTCCAAGGATCACATTGACTCATAATTAGAGACCCATTTCCATGACCCATAGTTTAATAATTTGCTTCAAGCTTAGTGTAACAGAGAACAGTATTAGCCTTAGGTGTGCCTGACCATTACTTGTCTCAGAGAAGCTGCCTGGCCTCCTCAATTGTGAACCTATTGAAGCTAGCCCTATATAGTTTAAATGATGTCACATTCACAAAAAATCTAATTCTAAGAAGAGTCTTTTTCTTTGTGTATAATCATCAGGCAACATTAAAAGTGAAATTCCAGAGATCATCCCAAGAATACTTTTTCTTTGTAATTTTTTTCAAGCCTTGTATTTTTTAAGACATTCTCCTTTACTAACCCCTACCACTTCCTCTACCCAACCTCCTCTACATTCCCTATGAAAGGTAGCTCCTTCTGAGTTTCCCCTTTCCTGATTACCCCTGTCTTTTTATCATGTACGTTGACTTTATATCTCTTTGCTAAGACATTCTAGTTATCTGCCTCCTCTCTGATTAGAATTAAAGACTTCTAATCAAGTCTTTAATTCTGCATCACAGAAATCTGTTTGCTTTGAAAGAGACCGTAGATAAGAAGGTAGGAATGAAAATAGTTCTTTCTTTGGTGTGCTGAGAAGAGGCGAGCACTGTAAATATTTCTGTATCTTTTTTTTTCTGTTCAGAAAAACTATATCACTCGAGAGATACAGATTATGTCAGCTTGTGCCAAATAATTTTAACTGCATCAATTAAAACCTATGCAAAAATTGTCATATTAGCAGCCATATTAGCAGCTACATATTGGGAAGTACAACTCATGGAATTAAAGTGCTTCCATATCAAGTTAAATTTAAATAGGAATGTTGTAGTGAGAGCCAGTGTCTTTCCAATGCCTTTCCATACTGATAACATTTCCAAAATGAAACACTTATCTTTATTTCATGGGTTACTTTATTAGCATACAAATTAAATTACATTAACATTTAGGAAAATACTATAACGTCTACAAGCTGTCATTGGCTCATTGAAGGACATTCAACCTTTTTTCAAGTGTCTCTTCTGCATATGTGTCTGGAAATACTCAAGAGAGCTTATTTATTTTTATATTTGCAATCCTGGTTAAACTATTTTCTTTCTGTAAGGGGAAATGGAACACGGATGTGGTCCTCGAGCTCTAACTTTTCAATTCCTGGTCTCAAACTAGCTGGACTAAAGATTTGAAATTGCCATGTCCTCCTTATTCTAGCTTACAGTTGCATCACTAACTTTTTAGAAGTGAGAGATGCAAATTGTGTATGTTATACAATTTGAGAACATTTGAATCTGTTATGGAGAATAAACAAAAATCAAGTAAATAGAACAACTGGAAAAACTCATATGATGTGTTCAGTCACAAGTAATTATGAAAGTATTTTGTGAGAAAAGGGGAAAATTCATAAGACATGTTAAATATCGATACTAAGTTACTAATGTTGGGAAAACACAATTAAAAACAAAATCAATTAACAATCAAGAAATCCTCTACACAAAGGTAGTAGAGAAAGAAACCAATTTTGTTATTAAACAAGCATTGTACATCATAGGCAATCCACTAAGACACTGCCAAGTCAGGAAAAAACCTCACACTTTTTTTAAATAACCAAGCAGATACAACCTATTTCATGAACGTTTTCAAGATAAACAAAAACTAACCCTCAAGTAAGAGGACTTGGTATCATCCTAAACTTTCCTGGTAGCAGGAGTCATCATCAGTTTTAGATAATTGGCTTTATTCTGAGAAGAAACAAACTTCTCATATGTTTATAACAGGTTTTGCAAAGCGGAGCAAGGCACCTACTTAAGTTAGGCTCCTACCCTCCCACAGAAACAGTGAAATAGGGGTAAGATCTCCCTTGATGTTTACATTTCAAAGAAATGGCTTCCAGGACCTTGAGAAAGAAATCTCTGGGTTATTGATCTGACAATAAACCTATCTAGTTTTCTAAAGAATTTATATGCATTTCAAAGAGAGGGGAAAGTATTTATATGATTTCTAAAATAAATACTCCAAGTAAAAGGATCACTTCTCTTGGATTCAACAGGCAGAATTAAGCCTCTTATTTTAAATTTTTATTTGCCCTTCCTTCCACAAACCTTTTAGACATAGTGGATACATGTGGAATAAATGGAGCATAAGTATAATTAACATTGTCTAAAAATTGAGCAAATCAAATCTTCCTAAATACCTTCAGATTCACAACTTTCTTAAATCAGACGTGCTTTGTGACACACTTTTTGTCCCACATGTCTGGCAAAGACACACAGAGAAAAAGAATAGTTCTCAGCAGCTTATTAATGAGTTATTGATGCAGCCAAGCATACCTGCCAGGGGCAGTCAAGGTTTTTTGTTTACCTTTACATCTTGCTTAGAAAGGAAGCCTGGTGCAGCAAAGGAAAAAAATTAAAAAGATAGAACATAGAATACTGCGTAATCAGGATTTCATAGTGTGCTTCTTCCATCTCATCTGCAAACTATCCTAATTGTATTAACTTACTTCATATCTTTTCTTTTGCTCTTAGTTTTATGTTTTAACTGTAGAATATGAATTCCTCAAGATTTTACCATCTCAATTTGAGACACCTTTCTGTTCCATGGCCTCTGAGACTGTCTGGCCCAGTGATGTGCCAGTGTTTGACAATTTCTCCTCTCTCTAGGCCTCCTCCATGGTACTGTTGAGCACATGATTGAGGTTTTTATTTTGGAAATTTTATTTTTCCATTCTAATATGACATTTGTTTTTCCTTTGTTTTATATCTTTCTGAAAATTTCTGTTTCTCTGCTGAAACTTTCTATTAAAAATTTTGTTTCAAGCATGTTTGTAATTTGTTTGTTGAAATGCTTTTATGGTGGCTGCTTTAAAATACTTACCAGATAATTCTAAAATTGTTATAATCTCAGTGTTAGCATCTATTGATTCTTTCTACATTTGGAATATTGGGATATTAGGTAATGGGATTCTGAATCTTATTTAAATGTATTGTTTTAGCTGGTTTCACCAGTATGAGTCTGGCAGGGAAACAGGAGATGCTGTCTCATTACTGCCAGTGCAGGTAGAAACTCTAGTTCCTCACTTGACCACAGTTGACACTTGGGGGAAAAAGGTCTTCTTGTTACTTCTGAGTGGTCATGAGACTTCTGGCTTCCTTCTAGGCCTCTCTCACCTGGCTGGGAGTGGTAGAAGTTCCTAGTTATTGCTTCCTATGTGACTCCAGTTGGGTGACATCATTGCTGCTGGGTGATGGTGAAAGTCTTGAATCTCCATTAGGCCTCTTTGACATTACCTCTGCAGGAAGAATGGAAGGACAGCTTGCTACTTCTGGGTGTTCATCATGAGCAGTTAAGGCTCACCATATGGTCTCCACTGATATTTGGGGGAAGGAGACTTGTTACTACCTAATAATGAGATGAAAGATCCTGATTCCCTACTTGGTTTACTATGACACCGCCCTGGCATGATGGTTCAGGAAACTCTTTACATTTACAGATTGTCAACATGGAGCTTCAGGCTGCCTACTCAGCCTTTTCCACCCTGGGTTGGGTCAGGCCACATTTTTTTTATGTTGTTTGTGGGAGTAGAACCGTTACTCTATAAACGTTTTCTATCTTACTATGGTGTCCCTTTCCTTATCCTTTTTTCACTAGAAAGAACAGGCTTCTGTTGGGGCTTTTGTCATCTTTACCCACTGTCAGCTTTTTCTAAGCTTGGGGTGCATGAAGCAAAAAGGAAATCTGAAAATTTCACACTGTGTCCTTTCCTGGGTCTTAGGTCCCTAGGCAGTCTGCCTTGTTCTTGCCACCTTTCAGAGACTTCTTCCATTAGTTTTACAATAATATTACAGGTGTTTTCATATACCTTATGGGGATAAAGATGAAAAAGTATTGTCTACTCCATTTCCCAAAAATGGAAGTCTATTATTGTATTTTTTAAAACATTTATCAGTTTTCATTTTATTAGGCAGTTATATAGAAATTATCTGTAAAATTCTAGTAAAGTGTAAATCTCTATGTTAATCCATCAAAGCTCACAACTGCATTCTATGCAACTTTTTGACATTTAAAGAGGAAGACTTCTCTATTTCTGTCAAAATGTATTTTATCAGCCTCCTTCTATTTTAATTTTATTTCTTCCACCTGGATCACAAATTCATTTCATTACCTCCTTCATTCTGTGTAGGCAGAATGTTACAGATGAAATATTGGTATAACAACAACAACACAAAGATAGGGTCCTATGCTTCACCAAAGAAGATGGATTTTAAAATCACGTTTATGTATCTCTATAGAATCATCTATACAGGGATAAGGAGATTACTCCAACTAATGACAATCAATGGTTTACTGCAGTTTTCTCACACACACACAGACGCACACACACACACGTGTGCACGCAAACACACCAATTACAGTCATGTATATATCTCCATAAATACATATATGAAATTTCTTTAAAAAAGAATACTGGAAACAGAAGAAAAGGAGGAGGGAGTGGGAGAAACAAATAAGAAAATAATCCCAATTCTTCAAGCTTGGCTAGGGAGAGAATCTCCACATGGGGAATACAGTCAGGCCTCAGAATGGTGTCCCATTTTACTGAGAATTTCCTGAAGGATTTCTACTAAATTCTAACAACTGCTACCACCCTGACAGTGAGTGCATATTCTTCATACTGTTTTAGCTTAAGTATGAACATATCAACATTTCCTAAATATCATGAAGCCTAGATAATATCATGCTGAAATATTTAGACAAGACTTTACTAAAGCAATGACAAAAATATAACAAAAATTATGTTTGCAAGTGATAGCCTGTTATGTAAAGTGGGCTTGCCTCATTGTTGGCTTGGAATCTCATAGTTTTTACCTCCTGTCCGAGACCTTCGCCAGCAGCCAACTGGCAGAAGCTAGCAATATCCTTCCATTCAGGAACAATCTCTCTCAAATATATCAAAATAAGTAAAATCCTAGACTCAAAACAGAACAAAAAACAAAGAGAGAAGCACTTTTATTTGAATCTGTTAAAAATAATCCCGAGGTCTTTGTTGACTAAGACTTGGAGTGTCTACCCATACCACAGAATTGCTGTCTTACCTAAAGACTCAATAGAGTTGGCATGTCAGTTTACAAGACAATTACGTGGCAGCTAAAGAAGAGATACAAGCACATAAAATTTTTATATCTTCATTTTATATATTGGCTAAAATCTGTCTTGTTTCTTTTAATATACAATCACATAGATAGCGTGGATTACGTCTTTTGAATTTACAAGGTAAAATGACTGCATGGCTTATACTCATGGCAGTAGTTTGATACCCTCTTGGGCCCAGTTTCAATGCATCTATAATTATTTAGCACATCCATTTTACATATGCTTTCGTACATTTGCATACATACACACAGACTCACATAACTTTTGATATTAAAAATGTTTAAAATGTTTCAACAAATTATATAGGCTTTCATAAAATTTTAGTACAATTTATTTCTAGCATGTATACCATCAAATAGATTGCCATGATTTTCATTTTCATAAAAACACATTAGGATTTGCATTCCTGACCAAAAAGGTATAAATAAGCATAAGTTATGAAAACATCTATACAAGATATAACAATTTTTATAATGCTTAATAATGTTATGATATATGTCTTAAATATAAATATAAATATACACATATATTCAAATATATAATATATAAAATATACATATTGATATTTACTGTGTATTACAATATAGTTCCAATTTGTTATATACATATACTTCACATAGAGTCCCAATGTAACATATACACATATTATACTGTATTTCTAATGCTCTATGTTATATAGAGTATATTTTACATGCAGTAAAAAATGTGTTAGATATAGACATATACTCTATATACATCATTAAATATGTTACATAATATAAATGTACAAATGTAAATTCTTACAATATTTGTAATATTAACTTTCAGACCAAGTGTATAATAGATATATGTGTATATAATATGAAATATATTAGACATATGCTCTTTTGCTTTACATGTGACTCTATTTCTATTTCAATTGCTGTGCATTATGCCTTTGGTCTGAAGTTAACATTCACATTTACATTCTAAACATTTTATCTGGACATGTTGCAATTTATAATGTTTTCAGGAAATGAGTTACATAACCAAACTCAATTGAAAATATGCTTCTTTTTTTTAAAATAAATATTTGTCTCTTTTTTTAGAGAAGCATCGAAATCATTACACTAACTTGAAAATAATTTTCAAGGTGAATTTTTAAAAATAGTCTTACTTTCCATCACGGAACAAAATTCCGTGATGTAAATGGTAAACCTCTAATAAGTAGATAAAGGCATGGGACTGACATGTAGTTCTGTGCCTATAGTGATGGGAATGAAGAGTGTTCAGATACATATAAAATATGTATATGTACATAATATTATGTCATATTATATATACAGTCTAGTCATCAAAAAGTGCATGGGACAGAGATAGTGCCCCCAAATATTATTCAAAGAGATAAGCAAAACAAATGCTTATTCTCTCTCCTTTGATATATCAATACTTTGCTCTGTAGCTGTTATTCATAGATCCCACACTATTCTGTCCAGGTAAAAGAACTAGACACACACACACAAAAAAAGAAAATCATTCTTAACATAATTATGGTCTACTAAGGTCACCTCATTACTATACGTTGCATATAAAAAGTGGTTAAATAAAACCATAAAGGATTAAGCAGAAAACAGTATTTGCATGAAATAGACATGCATTATCTGATATTTTCATTGATGTATAATAGCATATTTAGGTGGCCTTGAAGTAAAAGTCACTTCAAATGATAATGCACTTTTGAATAAACCAGACAGACAGAATGTGTTTCAAGGCATAGAACAGAATACCAATAATGGAATAAGGAATCTTTCTTTAGAGGTAAAAATTATGCTGCTGTCTAAAGTTTAAATTTTTCTTGCCCTGTTTCTTTTATTGATATCACTATATGTCATGAAAACAAATGATTACAGTGAAAATTGAGAAAAGTATTTTTTTCTCTTCCAGTTATTCAAAATAACAATTTAAACAATGTTAGAAGTCTATATTATAAAGAACTGAGTAATTATTTTCTAGAATACTGTTTTCAATGAATATTTAAGAAAAGTAGAAGTTACTGTGAAAAGAAAACTTCAGAGAAATTGTATTAAGCAGAGTTTAATTGAGCACAGAACAATGTGCACATCAGACAGCCACTCAAACCAGAAAAAGTTTACAGAAACTCTAGGGCTGTCCTGTGGTCAGAAAGGATTTATGAACAGAAAAAGGAAAGCGATATATAGAAAACGGAAGTGAGGTACTGAAACAGCCAGATTATAAGTTTGTCTTAGGTGAACACTAACAGTTGGTTGCCTGTTAGTAGTTGAAGTATGGCCTCTGTGATTGGCTGAGACTCGGCTACTTGGTCCAAGAGTAGGTTACAGTCCGATTACACATCCAGTTAGGCTACAGTTCACTATGCACAGAAAGAGAAAACCTTAGGCTCAGCTGACATGAAAGTCACTTTGGGCCAAACTTAAAATACTATTATAGTACTTTGAGTGCTGTTGGTTAAAGGTAATTTTCAGAATTAATGACACCACACCAGAAATATACTACATCCTCTCTCTGACTTAGAACACTATCTCAGTTAACAGCTGCTAGACAGCTATCATCATGTGAACTGACTATCAGAGCGGTTTATTATTGGCCCCTGTCAGATGTACTATTCAGACGACTGAAAGGAAAATGGCTATTTCAACAAATGCAATTTATTAGATAATTGATGTTTTTGTGTTGAGAAACTGTATTGCCTTTTGTGTCTGAGTTTAACTTTTAAATGCAGCAGGATATTATTATAGGTGTCAGAGGTTTAGAATTATTTCATGCCTTTATATTTTTTAGACATTCCACTGGTTGGATTATTTTAATAGAATTGATCAGATAAATCAGTCAACATGGTAATTCAGTCCAAGAAGTTAGGACTTTTTGTCTGATTTACTTCCATAGGCAATACAGATAAAATGGCCCCAATGTATTGACAAGTAAATGAAGAATAACTAACTACACTTTGGGATTTGATGTGTCTTCAGGCAAGTCAGGTAGCTCTACTGTATGAAAACAAATCTGTTTGCGAATGAAAGTTAAAAAACAAATAAGTAAAACTGAAAAAAAAGAAACTAAATTGAAAAATTAAGCTGCCTGGGTCTCTTTTCTCTGGGCAATGCCATAAATTTATTTCTTTTAGCAGCTACTACAACAACAAAAAATACTTGATTTCTAACTTGGATTCTCTAAAATCAATAAAAATGAGACAGATGTTTGAGAAAGTCTCTTGGAAAGTGGGATGGCACAGAAAGCACAGATTCCAGGTGATAAACACAGATGCTGAAATATGAATGATGCTGAATAATTATTTTTTACATTTAAAGATATGGAGCCTGGGAAAAGTACCTAGACTACATCAGATTTATAAAAGAACCAAGACCTTCCTGTACATAGAAATAATAAAAACAATGAAATAAGTTATTCAAGAGGTAAAAATAAATGTTTCATTGAATGTTGGAATAATATTAAACACTAACACACAAAGAGAGATATATCCCAAATGAACAAGGTGTATTTTACCATATTTTCTTTAAATTAATGAGAAGTATCCCATCTGATTTTGAGTCCAGTACTTTCTATTTTCTTAGTAAAATTTGCCCAGCCTGTGGATTTTCAAATAATTGATAGATACTAAATATCAAGAAAACAGTGTTGCAATTTTACAACCATGGGCATAAACAAGTCCGTAAGTGAGTTTACCAGGTAGATAGAATATCAAAACAGATTTGATAAATGTTAATGAGCTTTCCTTTTAAGGAAATGCCAAGTACACCAAATGAAGAAAATGTCACCTGTGAATTCTGCACCCTACAAAGGGCTGTGTCTCTTCTTAAAAACCTTGGAAGCTTGGGAACATAGTATTTTCAAGGAAATTTCACATTGTTTTGATTGAGTAAAAGATACATGAAAATATACAAATTGGCATTTTAATACTGATAATCATTATACAATGTCTTATTTGATGAAGTAGTTTTATCTATTAAATACATTACCGATCTTTCTTTGCTTCTGCTAGCCAGGGAAACTTTCTGAAGGATATATATTTTTTTAATCACAAAACATTCTTGAGAAAGACTTCTTTAAGCATTCTTATACACCAATAACAGACAAACAGAGAGCCAAATCATGAGTGAACTCCCATTCACAATTGCTTCAAAGAGAATAAAATACCTAGGAATCCAACTTACAAGGGAAGTGGAGGACCTCTTCAAGGAGAACTACAAACCACTGCTCAATGAAATAAAAGAGGATACAAATAAATGGAAGAACATTCCATGCTCATGGGTAGGAAGAATCAATATCGTGAAAATGGCCATACTGCCCAAGGTAATTTACAGATTCAGTGCCATCCCCATCAATCTACCAATGACTTTCTTCACAGAATTGGAAAAAACTACTTTAAAGTTCATATGGAACCAAAAAAGAGCCTGCATCGCCAAGTCAATCCTAAGCCAAAAGAACAAAGCTGGAGGCATCACGCTACCTGACTTCAAACTATACTACAAGGCTACAGTAACCAAAACAGCATAGTACTGGTACCAAAACAGAGATATAGATCAATGGAACAGAACAGAGCCCTCAGAAATAACGCCGCATATCTACAACTATCTGATCTTTGACAAACCTGACAAAAACAAGCAATGGGGAAAGGATTCCCTATTTAATAAATGGTGCTGGGAAAACTGGCTAGCCATATGTAGAAAGCTGAAACTGGATCCCTTCCTTACACCTTATACAAAAATCAATTCAAGATGGATTAAAGACTTAAATATTAGACCTAAAACCATAAAAACCCTAGAAGAAAACCTAGGCAATACCATTCAGGACATAGGCATGGGCAAGGTCTTCATGTCTAAAACACCAAAAGCAATGGCAACAAAAGCCAAAATTGACAAATGGGATCTAATTAAACTAAAGAGCTTCTGCACAGCAAAAGAAACTACCATCAGAGTGAACAGGCAACCCACAAAATGGGAGAAAATTTTCGCAACCTACTCATCTGACAAAGGGCTAATATCCAGAATCTACAATGAACTCAAACAAATTTACAAGAAAACAACAAACAACCCCATCAAAAAGTGGGCAAAGGACATGAACAGACACTTCTCAAAAGAAGACATTTATGCAGCCAAAAAACACATGAAAAAATGCTCACCATCACTGGCCATCAGAGAAATGCAAATCAAAACCACATTGAGATACCATCTCACACCAGTTAGAATGGCAATCATTAAAAAGTCAGGAAACAACAGGTGCTGGAGAGGATGTGGAGAAATAGGAACAGTTTTACACTGTTGGTGGGACTGTAAACTAGTTCAACCATTGTGGAAGTCAGTGTGGCGATTCCTCAGGGATCTAGAACTAGAAATACCATTTGACCCAGCCATCCCATTACTGGGTATATACCCAAAGGACTATAAATCATGCTGCTATAAAGACACATGCATACGTATGTTTATTGCGGCACTATTCACAATAGCAAAGACTTGGAACCAACCCAAATGTCCAACAATGATAGACTGGATTAAGAAAATGTGGCACATATACACCATGGAATACTATGCAGCCATAAAAAATGATGAGTTTCTGTCCTTTGTAGGGACATGGATGAAACTGGAAATCATCACTCTCAGTAAACTATTGCAAGAACAAAAAACCAAACACCGTATGTTCTCACTCATAGGTGGGAATTGAACAATGAGAACACTTGGACACAGGAAGTGGAACATCACACTCTGAGGACTGTTGTGGGGTGGGGGGAGGGTGGAGGGATAGCATTAGGAGATATACCTAATGCTAAATGACGAGTTACTGGGTGCAGCACACCAGCATGGCACATGTATACATATGTAACTAACCTGCACATTGTGTACATGTACCCTAAAACTTAAAGTATAATAATAAAACAAACAAACAAACAAAAATTGTTCCTACCACTGAATGCCAAAATATTTGGAATAAAAATGAAAGCTTCTGACAAGCAAAAAGTAAATGTTTATCAGAGGACATGAAGCCCAACATTCCACATTATCTGTGTAATGTTGTGTGTCCAGGTATTTGATTGTTGCATACTGGAATTGTGGAAATGTATTGTGGTTGCAGAAATCACTTTTTGATGCTGAAGGGAGCCATCAGTGGAAATATATATGGATTTCATGCAAGACAAAGAGAAATGTTGGTAAGTCAAAACATTATTTCCATAATAACCAAGGCAATAATGCAAAGGTGTCTTCAAAAAATCCTGAGAATAAATATACCATACATGCCTTGCCATGCATGTATTTATTTATTTATTCTCTATTCTTCAAAAATGTCTTCATGTAGTCTTTCTTTTTTCTTTCTTTGTTTTTCTCTTTCTTTCTTTCTTTCTGTTTCAGGGAGTACATGTGCAGTTTGTTACATGGGTATATTGTATGATGCTGAGGTTTGGGGTACATGTGGTCCCATCAAACAAGGAGGGAGCACAGTACCCAATAGATAGGTTATTGGCCTACACCCACTTCCCTCCTTCCTCACTCTAGCACTCCTCAGTGTCTATTGTTCCCATTTTTAAGTCCATGTATGCTCAATGTTTAGCCCCCAGTTATGGGTGGGAACATGTGGTATTTGGTTTTATGTTCCCATGTTAATTTGTTACAATAATTTTGTCATGTATTTATAGAGTATTAGAATAGCAACAGGTTTCCAGTGATAAGAAAATAATTTAGTAGTTATTACCTTTGAAGGAAAGTTAGCAACTTGTCCCTACCTCAAAAAAAAAGTTTAAAATAAGAAGATACCCATTCATGACAAATAGATCAACAAAACAGGCCTTGCTCTATAAACCCAATGAAAATGGCTCTATTTTCCCATCTGTTTTAACATATTCACATCATTAAAAATTCTACACACCTTGTTATAGTTGTGAAACTTATAATATGCCTTTATCAATCAAAATATATTCTCATGTAATGAATTTAGATGTACCAAATTTTTACTTGACATTGTTCCAACCAATTATTGTGGGGCTCAGAATGAAGAATACTGGTGCTAGGACTATTGTTACATGGTACTGGAGTGGTCCTTTGCACAAAGGAAGTTTCAATACCAACTTCTTTGCTATATTAGCTATGCAACTTAGTCAAATGTGAGAACTTCTGGGAACTTTTAAAAAATCTTTTAAACAAAAATATATACTTATTATATAAAGCATTAATTTACAGATATTATTTTTATATAACTATTTTTAAAATAGTTATATGTAACTTTTATATGTAACTTTTTTTAAAAAGTTATATGTAAAAATAGATATTTTAAAAATAGTTATATGTAAAATCCTGGTACATGGTGTACTTTCAAAAAGTATTAGGTTTTTTCATTTTTCTTTTATTTTACAACCTGACATTTCATCAACTAGAGATTCAATATTTTTAATAAACTACCTCATTTAAAATTGAAATGTCTCTGGAAGGTTAAAAATTTTATATATCACTTTCAATTAGTTTAATTAGATTACTTTATGTCCCTATCTAAACTCAACCTCCAAAACTGACTCATGGAAAGCTGTTTTTATAGGGATGGTGGGAAGGTGATCGACATGACTTCAGTGTACAAAGCTAGAAAGAAACTTCAACTAGTGTAAAAGAATTGAATTCAGCATTTTCTAGGTTAACATTAAAAAATAATTTTCAAATGGAGTGTAGTAGATCTACTTACTCTTAGTTCTGTTCTGTTTGGGTTTTCACTTCTTGGGGTTCTCTTCTGATTATCACAACATGCTTAAATCAAACAGAATACAAGAGAAGAAGTGTGGAGGGCATTTTCCTTTTTAATACTTGAAAGATCTTTCATTTCTGACAGCTGAGAGAGACAGGTCTTCAAAAGGCTTCCCTAAATTACTAAGGGAGAATTTAAGAGAAATCCGTGCTGAGAATAGGAAAATACACATTTTAAATGTCTGGCTTATAATCCACTAGGTTCTGATACGGCCCTATTTTTCTTGGTCTCCGGGATTCCCAGGCTTTAGTTATTTTCCCATAGAAACCCATTTCCAAATCCCTGACCTGCAGTCAAAGGGCACCCTGTGAGATATCTAGAAGTGGTTCCAAATCTGATCTAGCAGTTTGTACATCATCAACTCGATGGATGCATGTAAACCTCACAATAATGCTAAGGAATAGGAACTATTATTTTAAATCATTGTAGTTTACATATAAGAAAACTAAAGCCAGGCCCACTGTTTGCATATAGTGGAGCTGGCATTAGAATTTAGATAGTATATTTTCAGTGTCTGTGCTCAAAACCATTATGCTCTACCAGACGGAGTCTAATAATTTTTTTTCAAACAAAAACATTATTTTTGAGCTTTTACTTTATATGGGACTCCTTGATAAAAACTTTCTCTGCATTATTTCATATGAAATATGCAAGGAGCACTTACTATGGGTCATAATATTTTATGATTACATACGTAAATAAAATAAACCTTCGTCTCCTTGGTTCATATAATTTTGTAGAGGGACACATGCACCTACCTATCTGCCTACTCACATACAAAAATATATATAAAACTTATAAGAAATCTGAATTAGGTACTAAAATTATCCCCATATTACTGAAGAGAACAATGAAGTCTAAGAGGTTAAAACATCAAGTACAGTTTATTAGACTTGTGCATGAATGAACCTTCATATGATTTCACTGTCCTCAGGTGTCAAGTCAGACCCAGATTTTAAGTTTTCCCTGCTCGGTCTACAGACATCATATAGAAAGACAGCAACTTTGCTGCATCCTTTCTGAAATCTGCATCCATAGAATCATTGAACACAACAAAATGATTGTTTATGACACTGAATTTACAGTAATTTTTTATGCAACAAAAATAACTGAAACAAACACCAACCCAACGAGGTATGTAATGCAATGCAATGCACCATGGTTATATTTCAAGAATAACCCCAGTGGAGTTTCAGGAGGATATTTTGTTTCAGCAGCATTGTGAAAAACATGTGAGCCTGGGAAAGGGCACTGGGCATAGAAATAGTGCTTAAATGCAGTGATTCTGAAACTTGACAAGATTTTGATCCACTTATGTGAGACAAAAGATTCCATAGTTCACCTAGCACGTCTGTTTCTACTATTAGGAACAGAAGAAATGTGAGATAACAGAGGGATAGAGAGAAACAAAATAACAACAAAATTGATAACCACACAAGTTACAAAAGAGCAAACGTGAAAATTTTTTTAAATATGTCAATTAAATGAAAGAGAATCACAGCTAAAACTTGCGGTGAAACATGACTATGAAACTTTATTGATAATATCTTAATTGCAAAACCTCTCTCTTCTTGACTATTACATGCTTTCTAACCATCTGCATTTGCACCTGTACTGTTCAGTCTTACAATGCAGTCAGGACTTGTGGTAGAGTCTAAAATGAAGAACTTGGTAAATTTTTATCAGTAAACTCCCTTTTTCTTACAAATGTAATATAAAATAAAATAAAATGTCACCAGTAGGATATCTGAGTAATGCATTAAAGTGAAAAAGAATGTCATCTTTATGACATACATACACACACAGATGTTGACATGCACATGTGTAATTAAGAAAAAAAGACACAGAATTTTGGATCAGTTCTTAATTCATCAAGGAAAACATTAAGAGCCTGCTGGTTGCCTATGGACCATAGATGAGAGCGCAATGTACCTTTCCAGACCAGACACAGTCACAGAGGGTAACTTTCTGGATTCATGTAGCTTACTCCTTCCATTTATATGAAAGTATTTGCTGCCAGTTAGTCAGGGTTTCATTTCAGGAACTGCCCAGGGCTAGAAGAGGATCCCTTGTGCAGATCTTTTGGCACTGGATTACAGGGATGCTGCTTTCACTGCCCTTAAGCCTCCATATCACAACCACCCCCTCATTGTGTTGGCCCTACGTTAATTTGCGGAATTTAATCTGTGGAACAGAAAAGCCAGAGGCCTTCCTAAAGCTTCCACATTTTCCTGTTTGAGAACCAGTGGAGAAGTTGTCCATTTTAATGCTTTATTTCTCTTCTTATAAAAGACTTGGAAATGAATGGGTCACTCTGAAATAGTCCTTGGAAAGTCTGCTATTTCTTTCATAGATTTCTGATATTGCCTTGGTTCTGTAGCAGGTAATGTCTGAAGCAAACCAGAGTCAATAATCTGACAAAGTCAAAGGGAGGTACCTTCACTACTTTAAATTATACATTCATTCTTATTCTTCTGTTCTGAGTACAGACTACAGTGGCCGGTATTCTTTCTGAATGCTAAATTCAAAGTTGACCAAAATCACAGAATATTTTCTCATAAAAGAAAGTTAGAATCTACCTACTTCATGTTATAAAAGAGGAAATTGAATCTTGGTTACAAAAGCAACAGGCCATACCCGAATTCACAAAGATACTCACAAATCTGGAAATAGAATCCTTTATTCCTGAGTCTTAATACTATATTCATGTTTCTAAATTAATTATTCCTCACTAGAATCAAAGATTTAGGCTTTCTCATAGAACTCATATGTGTGCATCCACTCTTTGTATTAAAATTTTGACAGTAATGCCTAAATACACGCTATTAGTAAATTAAATATTAATCTTATTTTATCAACTATTTGCAATTACACTATTCATCATGGGTACCATGATTACTCTTCAAAAATAATTATCAATGTATTAGACACTTTATTAAGCATTCACATGTATAATTTCACTTAATTCTCATTGTCATGAGAAATAGTATTAATATTTGAATTTAAGATTGATGAAACTGAGGCATAGGGCCTAAACTTGGTGCAAAAATTCTAACACAGCTCCTTTTGCCTGGCGCTTGCATCTTGGTCTTTTTACCAGCTTTGCTTCAAAATTTTGCTCCGCTAGATTCTTTGCCAAGTAGCTGAAGCTATGGATGCAAATGCCTAAATAAACATTTGAAGATTTATAGTGCTTCATGTCAGTGTTGCTAAAATGCAATACTGCACAACCTCTTTTTGAAAAACCTTTCAAGGAAAAATATAAGATGCGTCCGATGGAGTGGCAACTACATAAATGATACCTCCTGAGAAATATACTGAACCACTCTCTCCTTGTCAGAAAGGTCAAATAAGGTATTTTGTTTGAAAGTTACAGAAATTGTTCCTTCCAAATAAAAATTTTAACCTGTGCTTTTATTCCATGCTAGGTGTAAAGTAGGTTGGTAAATTCACATTGTTTAAGAATTAAATAAAAGGACATGTACATGAAATATCTAGTATCATACCTGGAATACAGTAAGTGCTAAGTAAATGTTAGCCATAGTTATTATTAGCATACAGCTTTCCTTTCATCTCTTATTTATTCCAAAACTCCTCTGAACAGGTTGCTTTTTTTTTTCTTGTTTGCTATCACTACTTCATTAAGACTGCTCTAAAATAGTAGAGACCATCGGATTGATAACAGCATATTTAAGTGTTCTTTTGCTTATCATCCAAACAGCATTTATGACAACTACCTATCTACCTATCTTTCTTTCGAATCTGGACAGTTTCTCAATTTCTTCTAAAATGTACAGGTGACTTTTGAACAGCACAGGAGTTAGGGGTGACAACCTCCCGTGTAGTCAAAAATCCATGTATAATTTTTGACTGCCCTAAAACTGAACAACTAAGAGCCTACTCTTGACCAGAGGCTTTACAAATGACATAAACAGTCACTTACCACATATTTTGTATGCTATCTGTATTATATATTGTATTCCTACAATAAAGTAAGCCAGAGAAAAGAAAATGATATTAAGAAATTCATAAGGAAGAGAAATATAGTTTCTCATCATTAAATGGAAGTGGATCATCATAAAAGTCTTCATTCTCATCATCTTCATATCAAGTAAGTTAAGAGAAGGAGGAAGAGGAGAAGTATGTCTTAGTGTCACAGAGGTAGCAGAGGCTGAAGAAAATTGACATATAAGTTGACCCACACGGTTAAAACCCATGTTATTCAAGAATCAACTGTGTATATTTTATCTTCATCTTCTTCTTCATCTTCTTCTTCTTTTATTTATTTATTTATTTATTTATTTATTTATTTATTTATTTATTTTTTTGAGACAGAGTTTTGTTCTGGTCTCCCAGGCTGGAATGCAATGGCGCCATCTCAGCTCACTGCAACCTCCACCTCCTGGGTACAAGCAATTCTCCTGCCTCAGCCTCCAGAGTAGCTGGGATTTTTACAGGTGCCCTCCACAGGGCCCAGCTAATTTTTGTATTTTTAGTAGAGACTGGGTTTCACTGTGTTGTCCAGGCTGTTCTCAAACTCCTGACCTCAGGTGATCCACCCACCTCAGCCTGCCAAAGTGCTAGGATTACAGGCATGAGCCACCATGCCTGGCTGTCTTCTCTATTTTTTATGACACACTATAAAGAAAGAAAATGCTACTATTTCTGTTTTTTAGGCTGTATCAATTAATATCTATTATCTATTACCATGGTAATTCTGTGTAACAACTCCAAAACTTCCGTGGTACACAACAATAAATTTTCACTGCTCTAGCATCTGGAATAAGCTATAGCCTATCTATACTGCTGCACTAATCTTGGCTGGACTTTTTCATGTCTAAGAGGAGCCACTAGTTATTGGAACATCTAGATTCACCTTGGCTGGGGCAACTGAGATGAACTGACTCTGCCCACAGGTCTTTCATCTTCCAGCAAGTTATTCCAAGTATGTTATTGTAATGATAAGACAGGAGACTAGGGTCTGGAGGCAGGGAACCAAAGGCCAATTCATGCTGACTTTCGAGAACTAAATCAAAAGGAAAACTCCAACTTTCCATGCCGAAGTAGAAAAAGGACCAGAGGCTACTCCATTTGCAATGCCCCACTCTTTTCTGTATGGCAGATGAAAAATTAAAAGTACTTCTGATTGGGTCCTTCCCACAACCAAGCAGGCTGGTCATGGGCCAAGCCTTCATTTGCAAAAGAGTATATAACTTTGTAACTTCACTTCAGGCTCTGGTTGGTCACTTTCCACAACCAAGCAGACATTTGCATAGGGTGCAACTTTGTAACTTCACTTCAGCCTCTGATTGATTGCTCCATACAACCAATCAGACTGATTGCTGGTCACTACTTCATTTACATAGGGTACACAACAAGTAACCAATGGGTAACTTCTAGAGGGTATTTATATCCCAGAAAATTCTGTAACTGAGCTCTTGAGCCACTTGCTTGGCCCGCTTCCACCCTGTGGTGTGTACCTTCATTTTCAATAAATCTCTGATTTTGTTGCTTCATTATTTCCTTGCTTTGTTTGTGTGTTTTGTCTAATACTTTGTTCAACACCCCAATAACCTGGACTCTTTCCATCAGCAACTGTGATAGCAGTGGTATAAGCAAGGAAGGAATATGCCATGCCTCCTAAGGGCTAAGCTTAAAACTTCCTTTTTTAGCCAAAGCAAATCACATGACCAAGCCCAAGAGTCAAAATATGGGGAATTAGACTCTAGCTCTTTAGTAGGCAGAACTTCAAAACCAAAATTCAAAGGGCATGGTTATAGGAATAATTAAAGAGTTGGAAAATTTAATAAAGTCAATTTATCCTTTCACAAGAAGAAATTGAGGCTTAAAGGATTTAAATAATATAGTGTAAATTCATACACCTAGAGCATTACAAAGCAAGATCCATGGGTTTTTCAAATTCCAGAGCTGCAATCCAACAATTTTGACCTTTATTTCCCTTACAAGTACTTTCTTCCCTTGTTTTCCTAAAATGTCTTCCTTTGGCTTTACTCTTAATGCACTAGTGATTTGTTATGTCTCCCTTGCTGTGTTTTTTTTTTCCCCTTTACCTATTCCTTGTTAGACTATGCAGAGAAAAACTCAGAACTATGCTGTATATCTCATTTTTTACAGAATCTATCCTGAGTTCCATAGAATTGAGTGTTTGTGGACAGAAGCCCCATGACCTCAGATGGGAAAAACAAAAACAAAAACAAAACAAAAAACTTTCCATTAGCCTCCAGTTAAAATGTATCTTTTTCTTTAAATGTAGGCTACAGAATACATTAGTATTAGCAATGTGTGAAAATTTGTCATGAATAAAATAAGTGATAATTTCATATGATTACATACCACAATCACAATGTGATATATCACATTATAATTGTTTCAAGAATCTCAAAATATTATTTATCTCTATCCAAATTTGAAATTGGCATACTTTTTTTAGGAGATGAGTGTCCTTCTTGGTTGCCCAGGCTGGAGTGCAGTGGTGCAATCATAGCTTACTGCAGCCTCAAACTCCTGGGCTCAAGCAATCCCCCTGCCTCAGCCTCCTAAGTGGCTGATTATAATTAAACATCAGATACATCTTGATATTGAATGTGTCAATGAAGAAGCACATGCATTGACTATATTGCAAATTTGCTTAAAAATATTTTTTATAGTACACATTGCAATACAATTAGCTTGTTTTTTAATTTAATGTATTTTATTTATTCTAATTAAAGCATTTGTAAGATGAGTCTTTAGGCATTATTAGACTGAAAATCTACAGTTTAAAAAGGAACTCTTAAAAAGTTAAGTACTCTTTTTACATCTACACTTGCTAAATAATAGTTTCCATTGTCATAATTATGTTTCAATTCATGAAAATCTTTCTCTAGCCCTGATACCTCTCCTGAGTTTTACACTCAAATGATCATTTGGTTGCCTAATGGCACTCTGCTGTTTTGTAGGCACATCAAGGTAGATACATGCACAACAGAGCTCCTTTGCTCCATAGATATACATGCCTCTTTACCATCCTTTGATCTCTACTGCATCAATTGTTATCATTGCTATCAATATCTGGATGTTATAGTCTGCTCCTCTGCCTCACACCTCCACTGTCAATCAGTACTACCTTGTTTGGTCTACTATAGAGGTCTTCTACTTATCAATTCATATCTGCTTTTATGTTTCTCTAACCTATACTCAGTATTAAATCATAATGTTTCTTTTAAAACACCAATCTTATAAATGGTTTCTTAGTTCACCAAGGATAACACTTAAATGTTTAACATCTTTTTTAGGCCCTCCACTATCTAGATCCCCTCTTGCTTCATCTTCTCTCGTTATTCTCCTTCCCTTTGTTATCAGAAGTCCACTATACTCTGCTTTTTAAAGTTTTCTGTATTATTCTTGGGAATTGTTATCAGTCAACAGTTGGTTCCCTCTGTGGCTCATAATTAAAGGATCTGTTACAGGCTTCTCTCCTTGACTTGTAGGTGACTGTCTTATCTGTCCATCACATCATCGTATTGCAAAATATATTCACCCATCTCAACAGCCCCCAAAGTCTTAACTCATTCCCAAATCTTATCTAAATCAGATATGGGTGAGAGTTTGATATGATTCATCCTGAGAAAAAATTCGTTTCAACAACTGTGAACCTGTGATACAATAAAAGCTGTATGCTTCTAAAATGCTTCTAAAACACAATGATGGCATGAAATTAGGATAGACATTTCCTTTTTTTTTTTTTTTTTTTCTTGAGACAGAGTTCCCTCTGTTGCCCATGCTGGAGTGTAGTGGTACAATCTCAGCTCACTGCAACCTCCGCCTCCTGGGTTCAAGCGACTCTTCTGCCTCAACCTCCCGAGTAGCTGGAACTACAGCTCTGTGCCATCATGCTGGGCTAATTTTTGTATTTTTCATAGAGACGGGGTTTCACCATATTGGCCAAGCTGGTCTCAAACTCCTGACCTCGTGATCCACCCATCACAGCTTCCAAAAGTGCTGGGATTACAGGCGTGAGCCACTGCGCCCGGCCGACATTTCCATTTTTTAAAGAAGAAATCTGAAAGAAGAAAGGAGTTATGGGTATCAAGGATGCCTGAAATCTAGCTGGACAAATTTCATTAGATTTTAAGGCTCAGGAATTTTTGCACACAAATTGAGCCTAGTACCTTTACTATTAAATACCAAATTAAGAAAAAATTGACATTTGCCTGGAAATGTAGATCTTCAAACTTTTTTATTCTCTTTTCTTCTCTTTCTCCCTATCCCAAACAAAAAAAAATAAACCCAGAGAAGAATAAATTGTTAACTTCACATATTTACATAAGCAACATTTAATCATTAAATGAGATAGCATTTGCCAAAAACCTGATTTTTACATGACAGTTTTTTGAAACATGTGGCTACTGAGGAAATTAACCAATTGCTCCTTGAAATAATCATTTTTTCTTTTTGTTTTAATTTCCTTCAAGACTCTTTAGAGCCTTTAATTTTTTTTTAAATAGAAGACTTTGAATTATCATAACATTTATTCAAACTGAGTGTGGTTGGGTCAGGCTTCAAGCACTTCTACAGGATTTATGTCATTATTAATAGTCCACCAAGTTAGTAGAGGTCACCAAAAGAACTAGTACTAATACAGAAGGAAACAGTTTAGTAAATACCCATATAGTTGCTTTTGAACCCAATTTCTCAAAGGAAGTAAATAAACTTTCTTATCTAACTAAAAAGTTAGAGATCAGTTTGACTGAATCCAGAGACTCAGACACTGTTGTCAAAGATCTTTCTTTCTGTGTTGTCCAACATCTTTTTCTTTCTCTGTCTCCCTCTACATTTTTTTGATTTGGATTCACCATCTCCTACTGTAAACAACTTTACCGTAATAGTTTAAAAATCTCTAAACTCACATATTTTCATTACTGGGGGAACAATAATCCTGGTGAGATATTTTATTGTTCTAAACCAATTACTTTGGCTAAAGGGTGCAGACCTTTGGAGGAGTTATCTCCACCCAAGACTGGGACAAGATCCCAGCTGCTCAGTTACTGTGATAAAAAATTCCACCTGAAATACATGGTGTGAGAAGATATCCCCAGAGTATAAGTTTCAACTAGAAAAAATAAAAGAAAGAAAGAAAGAAAAAAGAGTCATACTGGCATGTGTGGGAGTCAGGAATGAATTTAATGCAGAAAATCCAGTGTAGGACTCAAGATCACTGAAAGATATAGCAAAGCCACCTTTTGGAAAGAACCTGGTTTCAGAATGACTCCTGGAACAGTGTTCATCTGCATGGACATTACCACTTTTGTGAGCAAGAAGGACAACTTCGTTGTGTTACAGACAAGGAGAGGACAGAGAACTAAATATTTTAAAGGGGAAAAAAAGGAAAGTGCTTTATTGAAGAGGCGGGATGCAAATTGAGTCCTGACAAACGAGCTGGTTTGTTACAGTCAGAAATGATAAAAACATTTAAAAACAAACAATGCAAAACAAAAACCTATTGTTTTTTACCAATTGTAAAAATATAACAAAAGTATATTGATGACAAATTGAGTTAATTGGTCTAATTAGTATTAATGCAAAGAGAAGGATGTGAGAAATACATATATATGTCTAGATGAGGTTGCTTCAGAGATTTCACTGCAATAGTTTTCAAGTTGAACTAAGGAAACATGTAGAAATGCAACAAAAAATTCATGGTATTTATGCTGCCATTTAAAGTCCTAGTCCATGGTCACATCTGTATTAATCACAACACCCTTTCCCAATGAGTACAAAGAGGGTCTTAAAATCCTTTGTATATAGCATTCATGCATCACTGCCAATCAACTGGAGATGGCAGTTGAAACAAAGCCTCAAAGTGCATTTGCCATAAATCAGAAAATCCAAATTCAAATCTGAACTTTTCCATGGCTTGTGTCATCTCTGGCTAGTTGCAGCCTCCCTAAATTGCATTTTTCTCATTGGTAACATAGGCTACTTCAAAAATTTGTTCCTCACATCAAATAAGCTAACACATGTGAGATTATTTTGTAAATATACAAAATTGGCATGCAAATTTATGGAGGAATTTTTTATACACCTTCGCTAACCTGCTTTATAGCTTACCTCTTAATTTCCATATCTATTTGAGTTGGAAAATCACATATTCTTTCTGTAGGTACACTTTCCAAGTAAAGCAGCAGTCAGACACCAATGCCAACATACTTGTTTTTAATATTTTCCAGTTCTTAAGAAAAAGGTGTTGTTATTTATGTACTGGTCACCTGTCTTGATATATTTGAATTCAAATACATAGTATAATTTTTTTCTCTTATACAAGTCTATCTGTATGTTTTCTTTTCCATTGATTTATTAGAATAAAAATACTTTACCAGGATAGAAATTGCTTATTTTGGCTGGGCACAGTGGCTCATGCCTGTAATCCCAGCACTTTGGTAGGCCGAGATGGGCGGATCACAAGGTCAGGAGTTTGAGACCAGCCTGGCCAATATGGTGAAACCTCATCTCTGTTAAAAACACAAAAATTAGCTGGGCGTGGTGGCAAGCGCCTGTAGCCCCAGCTCCTTGGGAGGCTGAAAACGGAAGAATCGCTTGAACCCGAGAGGTGGAGATTGCAGTGAGCTGAGATCACACCACTGCACTCCAGCCTGGGTGACAGAGCAAGACTACGTCTTGATAATAATAATAAGAAGAAGAAGAAGAAGAGAAGTAGAAGAAGAAATTGCTTCTTTTATGCCTGTAAGTAATTAACTACTATTTGTAAAGATATTAAAGTGTTTATAATTATATAACTATATTATACTTATTTTTATTAAAACATCTTACAAAGTGAAATAAAAATAGACATCACTGAATCACAGGTTCTAGATTTAAATAGACTAAAATGTCTCCAGTTATTTCCTTCCTATACATCATTTTGAAATAAAGTACACTAATATTTTACAGACAGTCCTTGGATGGGCCATATAGTTGCCAGACATCTTCTTTCCTCCATTCATCCAATCAAGTATTTTATTTTAAGGATAATGCTCTATCACTGAATATTGTTGTGTGAGACATAAAATTTCTATATGTATGCATGGTCTCTTACAGAATAAAAGTAAACTAAGCTCCTGAAAAGGAGCATGAAATATTGATTCAGGCAAAAATGACAAAGGTGAAGAAAGACATGTAACTGCAATCTACTCAGAATTTGTGTATAGTATAAGAATTACGGACAAGGATGATTGTACATCTCATAATGGAAATGACATAGAGGATGTCCCAGCTCCAACCTTTATTCTCTGTAAAGATTTTCAAAGTATTATGGAGAGAAGTCATGAAATACCCAGAATGCCAAAGGGGCCACAGTCAGTAAAGGAAAGGTTTATATTCATATAAGATTCATGTGAAAGGGAAGTACACGCTGGGTGGAATTGATAAAATAGAATCAAACTTTAGCCCAATATTACTAATGGGCCTTTCCTGCATCTGAAACTATTTTGATGATGGAAAATTTGTTGCTTTTTGTAGAATTTTTTTAACTCTTGCCCTGCATTAGTTTACACGTGTCAACTTACCCATTCAAGTACATAATCACTTTTTTCTCTCTGCAGTGAGTCTGCTTGAACATTACCCCAGATGGATTGTCTCACATCTGCCCTAATGCCAGCTTTGGTCTTATCTTTACCAAAGATGAGGAAAGAAGCACCAATGTGATGAATTTGTCAAGCTTATTGAGCAAAATGAATTGCCACTTCAGTTCGATAAAGTCCGTTAATTGTACTCAGTATTTGTTAATTTATTTACCTAACATTATTCATTTGCAATCCCATTTAATCCATTCTCTGGATAAACTATGCCTAGAATTGCAAAGTGTATACCCCCAAGTAATGAGAGGACAGTGAGAACACTCTTACATATGTTTGAAGAGTCTCTGTAGAAGAGTCGGAAGAACCTTTGACAGTTTCTTTGAACCAAGTGTAGATTCTGTCAGTTCTTAGGCTTATTCCATAATTAAAATCTGTCTTCACAGGCTTGACTACCCTAAAGGTATGCATCTTGGACCTTATCAAATGCTGGTTGCAAATTGAGATTTTTATCTAGAGATTATGGATGTCAAAACAATATTTTCTAACTTACGAGAAAGAAGTATTTGATTCACATTCGGAAAGATAGATCTTTTTGGAGGTAGTACTCATGCATTTATTTGTTTAAAAAATCAGCACATATTTGCCAATTTAGTAGAATGGAATGGAGAGGAGCATGGACTTTGGAATTAGACGATCTTGTATTTCATTTACAGCTCTACCACATTTGAAATATTTAAGTTTTATCAAATCATTGGATAAATGACTTCATTTCTCTGTGCCTTAATTTTCCATCTATAAAATGATGAAGTTATTTTCTGGTTGGTTTGAATTTAGTACATGTTAATTGCTTGGCATAATGGCTTGCCCATATAGAAAAACTTGTTGATAGCAGTAGTAATAATGGTGGTGATAGTGACAGTAGGGATAGTGGCAATGCAACTCTGTAAGGCTCTGTATTATAAATAAAAAGATAGCTTTTCATTCATCAAGGACTGTTATTACTTTGATGACAGCCATATTATTATCTTTATTTATTCCCTTCGCATCCATAATCTTACTGTTCGTGTGTGTGTAATCCATCAGTGTTAAATGAGGACAGGGACATTGTCTATTGTTCATTTTTATGTCTTTTAGCACCAAGAAAAATGATGCCTGGAACAAAGTACATGTTCGGTGAATATTTGTTAAATGAATAAATGCACTACTATCACCTTTGCTGTTTGCTGTGTGTGTGTGTGTGTGTGAGTGTGTGTTTATCCCTTATATTACTGCTCTGTGTTGCTAGGAACAGGAGATGAGAAGAGTAAAATTAAATTTCCCCATGTCATCACCAACTATAGCTTCATCTTTTACTTCTCTAACAATTATAAGTGAGAACCTGGCTAAATAAAAGATTCTGGGAAATATATATCCTACTCTCATTTAATCACTCCTGGTAGGCATAATTATAAAAATTTGAAGTAATTCTAAGAATAAACTTTATTTCCTAGTTCCTATATATTGTAGTAGTTAGATGATGATTTTGTATTTAAAAAAAGAGTTCCAAACTCAAACTAGTATTAAAGTTTAACTCTAGTTTAATTAAGTGTCCTATCTCATTGTTGTCATGTTATTCAATCATGACATCACACTCCCCAGTTTAGCCTTTTTTTAAAAAAAATTACACCCAAAACTGTGTAAGGTGGTAAATATATCTCCAATTCTTCATCTTTTAAAATCTAAATAACTACTGACCATATAAGAAGAAAGAAAAACAAAGATCACCAAGAAAAATCTTGTGTTTCTCTCATACTAGCTTCTTGCAATTCCTAAACAAAGGTGATTTTTATTAGTCTCTTTAGGATATCTGTCCCTAGTGAATTGGTTCTCTATCACAGTGGGGATAGGATCGAAGACTAGCCTGCTGATGACTGAGTTTCATATGTACAAGGGTAAACAATTCCACTTGTCAGTGGGAGATGGGCTTAATTATGCTTACAGCTGTGTCCCTCATGAGGCCATTCCTGCAACAATCTGGCTCTCTGCTTCTTTTCCTACAGTTCTCTACCATGGAGATGAAACTTTCTAGTCTAGTGTGTCAGCTCATGCTGACTTGAATCATTAACTGATTCCAGCTGTTCTCCCATAGCAACAGACAGTTTCACATCTGCAGGGCCATTTGGATCTCTGATATGAGTGGCAGAGATCACTGCTTGACTATGTTTTGCAATTTTAGGTTGTAGTTAGAATTGGAGTCAATTTAAAATGAAAAGTTTTGATTATGTTATATTCTGACTACATAGTGACTTTCAATGTCTATCTTTATGTGGGTTGAAAAGTAAACTCTACAATTTGAAATCCACATTAAAATAAGTGGAGATGGCACACATATACAAGGAACATAAATCAAGAACTTAAAACTAAAAATAAACTAGGATTTATCATTAACTGTGAACAAAAAATAAGAACGTTGAATTTCCACTAATGAGCTATGTGACCCTAACAAGTAAGCTAACATCTCAGAATTTTTTTAATATATAAAATAAGGTAAAATTAGATGATGTCTAGTGATATTTTGGCCCTTAATTATATGATATTATATTTTATGTTATAAAGAGAATAGAAATACAAAAATATCACAATTATATGAGAAACTGAGTTTTTGCTAGAAAACACAGAATGTTATAAATTGAAAAGACAGTTCTGCAGATCCTGGAAAAACACATGATTTGTATAAAACATACCAAACTGTTGGGAGCAAGCCCCCCAAAATCTGGCTATAAACTGGCCCTAAATAAAATCTCTGCAGCACTGTAACATGTTCATAATGACCCTAACACCCAAGCTGGAAGGTTTTGCGTTTATGGGAATGAGGGCAAGGAACACCTGGCCCGCCCAGGGTGGAAAACCGCTTAAAGGCATTCTTAAGCCACAAACAATAGCATGAGCAGTCTGTGTCTTAAGAGCGTTTTCCTGCTGCAGTTAACTAGCCCAACCTATTCCTCTAATTCAGCCCATAACTTCGTTTCCCATAAGGGATATTTTAGTTAATTTAATATCTATAGAAACAATGCTAATGACTGGTTTGCTGTTAATAAATATGTGGGTAAATCTCTGTTTGGGGCTTTCAGCTCTGAAGGCTGTGAGACCCCTGATTTCCCACTTCACACCTCTATATTTCTGTGTGTGTGTCTTTAATTCCTCTAGCACCTCTGGGTTAGGGTCTCCCTGAACGAGCTGGTTTCGGCACCAAACAACAGTGATTAATCCATAAATGGTAAGTGAATTTTGAGAGCAATGGTAATGAAATGTGATATTCAAAATCTATTATTTTAGAAAATGAAAACAAACTAGTGAGGTAAGAAAGGAGAGGGATTGATTTGAGAGGCTCAAAATGCTGCTCAGTCCTTATTTGCCTCTACCAGAAGAATAAACATGCATGTGCTTTCATCAGTGGTGAATATTATCTCTCAAGGTAACAAGCTTCTTTTAGACCATTTTATAAATCAACATATTTTCTACTTGAAAAATCAAACTTTTAGCTTGACATGGTGATTCATACTTGTAACTCCAGCACTTTGGGAGGTTGAGGTGGGGAGATCACTTGAGGTCAAAAGTTTGACATCAGCCTGGACAACATAATGAGACTCCATCTGTACAAAAATTAAAATGAAAAAATTAGCCAAGCCTAGTGGCACATGCCTGTAGTTCTAGCTACTCTAGAGTCAGAAGCAGGAGGATCACTTGTGTTCAGGAGTTAAAGGTTACAGGGAGCTGTGATCTCTCCACTGCCCTGCACCCTGGGTGACAAAGCAAAATCCTGCCTCAATTAAAAAAAAAAAAAAAAAAAAAAAAAAACACTTTCAAGATCTTCTGTTAAAAAGAACTTTTATAAAGATGACAGATGTTATTGAGAAAAAAAAACAAAACCTGTGCTCTCTGATTTCTATAAGCAGAACTAGTAGTTCAGGCCCTTTACATTCAAGGTTGGACTTTTTTATTTCCTTCCTTCTTGTCTTCCTGCCTTCCTTCTTTCCTGCATGCATTTTTATACTATCTGAACTTACAAAAGACTTGATGTGGCTTCAAAACTGGATTATCACAACAGTCTTTCAACTGGTGTCAGCTTCTAATATAGTGCCCATTTAAATTATTCTTATAGTTGTACAGATGAGATCATTTAATTTGTATTATAAATTCTTGCATGCTTTACATGTTCTCACACCCTCTACTAATTTACATAAATGTCTCAGCCTAGAATTCAAGACTTTACCCTACTAGTCTGATTTATATTATACAGACACACACACACACACACACACACACACACACTGTTTTTACTATAAATAGGATGAATATTAATTGCACTGTCCACTAAAGCCAACTATTCTAATGACTCTCACTCAAAAATATCTGCAAATTTCTGGCTTAGGAATCTTACTTCACATTGTTCACTTTACCTAGATTCCTCAGCTTACTTCTCTTCAATTATATCATTTCTTCCCTAGAAAATAAGGCTTCTTCAAATCACTTACAATCTCAGCAAAGACATGATTACCAGATACACAATGGAACCTCCTTCCTGTCACTGGACACCTACAATTTACTTCTTCTTGCCATTTGCAATATATGCATAGGTATGCTGGTAAATGTTGGGGGATGGAATATAAGGAGACACTAATTGTCAAAGTTTACAGATTGTTCTGATATAAATATTCTAACGATGGTTAATTTCAAGCTCACAAAATGACTTCACTGAATAAAAAGTTGAAAGAGATGTGCACAACTGGGTATTGTCCACCAGTACCAGCACATAGGGCTTGCTTCTTCAATCTGATCATTAAAAGAGGCTGAAGTGTAGGTAATACATTTTAAAATATTTGAAATTTTTATTTCTTCTTAAGAATACTCTGGCTATATGTAGCATCTATAGTGTACATATATTCTTTTCAAATGTCCAGAACGCCTTTCTGCGACATATGAGGATGAATGTAGTCAGGTGCTCTCCATCCCCAGAAATCTTACAATTTGATTCTCTGCAAAAATGGTCTTTTTCAGAACACTTTACAATTCACATCCATTATATATCATTATTATTTTATCATCTTACCATATATATAATAATTGATTATTTTGTTTTTATAGATGAGGAAAATGCAGGTCAGCTGATATAAGCAATTGCTTCTAATATGTGAGAGACAGTTAATAACAGAGCCAGGACTTGATTCTAGATGTTTTGACTTCAACGTGAGGGGAAAAGCAACAGCAAAATGTTCACGTTTTAGCAGAAAATTCTTGACAAGTAAGATGTTAGCCTGGGATATTTAAGTAACTTGATAATGTGCATACATTGCTATTCTTTACTCTTCAGAATTCAAAATTCATGTCAATTCAATATTTCCCTATATTTTAAATTGAATCAATAACTATTTTTTTCTTTCATGAATGTATCTCATAACCCTGGCTAGTAGATTTAGATGGGCTAGGCTTCTTTAACTTATGTTTGTTCTTTTTGTTGAGTTGAACTAGTTTTTCTTAATGCTGACAGCTTTATCACAAACTAAGAGCTGTTAAATTAAGTTTAGCCTAAAGCTGCCTCCTTACATATTTTAAGTTTGGCCTAAAGGTCTCTTTGAACATTATGAACTATAACCTAACTGGATGGATAAGCAAATTGTAACCTACTCTCGTACCAATCATAGATTTCAGGCAATCACAGGCAGCCAGTTGTTCAAACTGTGTTCAAATAAGACTGACATTGAGCTGTAACCAATACAGCAGATTCTGTACCTTTCTCTCTGCCCATAAATTCTCCCCAACCACGCAGCATTGCAGGAGTCTCTGAATCTGCTCTGATTCTGAGGACTGCCCAATTCACAAATCATTTTATTTGCTAAATTAAACTCCATTAAATTTAATTTGTCTAAAGTTTTTATTTTAACAGAGCCAACAACCTAAAATAAGAGAAGCAAAGCCATGCTACTTAAATTCATTTGACAAAACCATCTGAGGGAACATAAAAAGAGTCTGTCTTTGATTCTTTCCAAAATCTTCCTCTTTGACTACTCTGAAATACTTCCATGGGTTTCTCCTCTTATCTTTATTCCTTTATATATATATTTTTCTAGCTATGCATTGCCTAACTTTGCCCAATATTTTTTCTTCCATATTCTTACCAGGTTAAGCATCTCAGATGCAAATTTATCTAAGCATTGATCTTTACCAAAGGCATTTGCATTTTAATAAAGGGCTAATGAAGATGAAGGCAGAGGAGGGTACATTTTAAAAAGAAGAGAAAAGGAAAGAAAATATAAGAAAGGTAGCAATTATATTTCTAGTGGAGTAGGATATCTTAATTTACTTACTCATAAAGTCTGTCCAATTAATATCAGTAAGTGTGTAGGGGAGGAACAAATATGTCCACTCTATTGCATTACTGCCTTTCTTTCTGTTTAGTATTAGTACTGCCAAAAACCAAAAATTTACAGTAAATTTTCACATAGTGTTTTCCAAATCAGGTCTTCTGCAGCACACAAAACATTCTCACGGATAGCTTAAATGCGTTTTTATGTACTGAGTGAGATTCTTGAGCAGATATTGAGGAAATGACATTTGTGGACATCTGATATTCTACCATCCAGTTTATGAAAGAGAGCTATGTTCCTAATTCTACTATTCAGCAATTCTCCTAATTGCTGAGAAATAGTTGCCAGCACAAAAAAAAGTTTGTCTCTAGTTTAAATTAGAAACTCTCTGTGAAACGAAGGAAGAAAGAAATAAAGAAGGAAGGAGAAAGGAAAGAATGAAAGGAAAGAAAGAAAAAATGATTTTCTAAATATGCACTAAATAACAATGTGAAAACAATTTTAATGAAAAAAACCAAACTCTATATTTTTTAATATTTATTATAGTCTCAAATTTATTACGAGCCAATATAAGTGACCATGGCCTGAGGAACACAGCCTCAAGAGGTTCTGACAAAGTGTGCATAGGTGGTCAGGTTACAGTTTGTTTTTATACATTCCAGGGAGATAGGAATTACAGGTAACATCACGTCAATACATGGAAGGTATACGTTAGTTTGGCCTGAAAAGGTATGTCATCTCGAAGTGGAGGCTTACAGGTTATAGGTGAATTCAGACATTCTTTAATTTGCAATTGGTTAAAAGAGTGAAGCATTGTTAAAGACTACAAGTCGGTACAAAGGAACACTTAGGTTAAGATAAGGGGTGTGCTATCTGTTGTGTGATGCTATACCAGAGTCAGGTTGGAAATAAGCCATAACAGATTAACAATAGGTTAACCAGTTTAATGAGATTTTATGCTTTGTAAGCTGTGATGTAACCCTTGCCTTGCAAGGCCTTAAGTCTTATTTACAATTTGGTATCTTATTGTCACAAAGAGTCCATTCTGTCAGTCTCACGATCGCTATTTCACATTAATGCTGGTCAGTTGTGTCTAAACTCCAAAAATGAAGTTTGTCTAAGCTGCGTTACCTTTATGACTTTTCAGATTTCTCTGAGATTCCCTTGGCCAAAGAGTTCAGTTGAGGCCAGGCACTGTGGCTCACACGTGTAATCCCAGCACTTTGGGAGGCCAAGGTGGGTGGATCACCTCATGTCAGGAGTTCAAGACCAGCCTGGCCAATATGGTGAAACTCCGACTCTACAAAAATACAAAAATTAGCCAGGCATGATGGCAGGTGCCTGTAATTCCAGCTACTCTGGAGGCTGAGGTGGGAGAATTATCTGAACCTCGGAGGCAGAGGTTGCAGCAAGTTGAGATTGCACTATTGCACCACAGCCTAGTTGACAGAGGAAGACTCCATCCCCTTCCACCAAAAAAACAAAAACAAAAAAAAAAACACACAACAACAACAACAAAATACAAATGAGTTCAGTTGATTGGGGGGCCTAGATTTTATTTTTTGTTTACAGTAGATTTAGGAAAAATTAGTTATATTTTTTGGGTGGTGTGTCATGAATAATTTGTCCTTGCCCAAACAGAGGCCTCTCCTTTACCACTGACTCCTGGAAGTAATTTATAAATGCTTTAAATTTCCTGAGTGATTGAAGTGTCTTTGTTACTCATAGTGAGCCTCTTGGACCACACTTAATAAAATATGCTAATGAGGTGACTCATGGTGGACCGTTTGAGATACAGGATATAATGACCTCTAGGAAGAGGGGTGCTGAAAACTGAGTTCAACAACAGTGGCAATCAATCAATCAATCAGTCATGACTACATAAAGAAGCCCAATAAAAATTCCGTACACTGAAGCTTGGATAAATTTCATAGTTTGTCAATATTCCTTGCCCTAGTCCATTTAGTGTTGCTATAAATAAATATCTGAGGCCGGGTAATTTATAAAGAAAAGAAGTTTATTTGGCTCATCATTCTGCAGGCCATATAACAAGCATGGCACCAGCATCTGCTCCTGTTGAGAGCTTCACCGAGCTTCCTCTCATGGCAGAAGTCAAAGGGGAATAGGCATCACATGGCATGAGGAAGGAAGAGAGAAAGGAGAAAGGCACAAGGCCCTTTTTAACAATCAGATTTTTGGGAACTAATGGAACAAAAATTCACTAACATGGAGAAAATAGCACCAAGCCATTCATGATTGATCTGGCCAGATGATCCCAACACCTTTCACCAACAGCCCCACCTCCAATACTGGAGATCAAATTTTGACATGAGATTTGGAAAGGACAAATATCCAAAATGTATCATTGGCCATCCCTGGAGTGTAACGCATCCTGAGGACAACAGACACATTTTATTTGGAACCCTGTCTTTTTCTTTGGCTGGTTTCAATATATCATTTTCCTGTAATAAACTGTACTCAGTGTATGACAACATTCAGAGGGTTTTGTGAGTATTTCTAGCAAACTAAAAGTTGGTGTTCAAAGTGCTGGATAGAATTGAAGTCTGGAAGACTATGCCTTCAAACCTCACAATTTGGCTAATTCCAGGTAAGTGACCTAAAAAAATGTGGAAAACTAATTTATGTTAGTTTTTTGTTTGTGTGTTTGTTTCTCAATGTTAATTCCAGGATGCGAAAGCTCTGTATACTTGTCTTCAAATACTAAATTCCTATCATTGACTGAGATTTCTGTTTCAGTAAGAAAACATTAATATTGGAAATTACATGAGATATTCAGAAAACTGCCTGTTCTTATTCAGAACCTCACATATGTTTATTGCTCTTTGAGAATTTAAAAATTTATATGTTTGTGAAATTACCCTTAGCAGAAATTAAGGGAGGAGACATTACCAACTAGAAGAAAGTTAAGCAATGGCTTACTTAGCATAAAGTACTGATGATAGAAGAAAAGAAAAAGAGAGGATATACTTAAATGAATAAAATTATTCTACATTCGAGTTTTGGATGGTAGAGGAAATTCTTTTGTTACTATAATGAAGGAGCCAAGTCTTTAAGACACACTGCGTGTCCTCACACTCTTTCATCAAATTTTCAAAACAGACATAAGTCCATTTCCATGAAACATCACAGTCTCTCAAGTTAAATGAGTTAGATGAACTTATATAAGTATTGCCATAAGATCTTGAATTGCATTGATAAGTGTGCCAGCATGATTAAGATGTTGAAATGGCCTCGTTGTCTGGCGTGACACCAGAAGTTCTTTGTCTCACAGCCGAGGAAATTAAGGACAAAGAACCACACCAAGGGTGAGGTTAGAGCAGATGTTTAATAGGCAAAAGAAAGAAAACAGCTCTCTGCTGTAGAGAGGGGCCTCGAACAACGTTGCCCATTTCTCAGTGAAATGCTAGGGTTTTTATAAATGAGCTAGTGGGGAGTGGGTATCTTATCTACTTAAGACACAAAAAAACCAGTTAGGACTAGGTGTGTCATCCGCATAGGGCATGAATCTCTGGCAGCCACCACCCCAACCTTTTATTGCACAGGCAGATCCTTAGGCTAAGTTACTCCATGTTGCTTATTTTTTCCCCACTGTGCATGTGCTCGGCGGGGGCAGAACCATTCATGGTGAATGTGCCTGGCCCAAGGTAGTTCTTCTTATTCGTGTAGCTGCAAGCACCCCTCCCTCCCTGTCCCGCCCCTCCCCCCAAGCTTCCTTATCTTAGTATGGCCAAAAAAGGAAAGGAATGTGGTCACTAGGGCCCCCAATGTGCTTAATGGGGCCCACCTTGTGTATTTGAAGCTTGCTGATTACCCAGGAGGCTCTCCTTCTGTGCTGGAACTCCCTTCCTTATCTATGTTTGTAGCCCAATCTTCCAAGCTGCTCTTTGCTAGAGAGGGAATTCTGTTGAGGACACTTTGCCCTATCTGCCTAGCTGGTTTCTTCCTTTCTGCTCTCTCAATATTAAGATAAGACTACTGAATTACATATTGTCTTTGTCACTTCCGATCTGTTCTATATAAAAGAGTTCCAAAATAAGCAACTTTGCTACAATAAGGGCAGAGATATATTTATCTAGCTGAGATAATGATTCAACATTCCTATATTCTTTCAAATAATGGCATTATGAACATTTGGGAGAGAGAGAGCTAGATAAATTCCACTCCAGAGCTAACCTCTACGCTTTTGACGAAATGCTAAATATTCCATCTTCTCTGTTGTAGCAAGTATATAAATTTAGAAAAAATACATTTTTTGCTATAATGTATTTGTGTGGCATTTGGTAAACTACACATTTTAAAATATACATCAATCATCCTGCTAAGCAACCTATTTAAAGTGTTAATATGTAATACCAAGTGATGCCTGTTGGTGGCTAAATATGTACAGATCTTTCTACAATGCTTGATCTTATAAACTTTGCCCCAGATATATAATTGTTAACTTTCTAATAGAACTTAGCTTCTATTGCATGGAAATGATTCCATGTCTTTGGACTTTAAATTATCAACCTGTGGATGTTCTCTAGTAGTCTCTATTTTTGAAGATGCAGTAACCAGCCAAGCTGCGGTACTCAAAGCATGTATGCAGTGAATTTATCTTCCTTATATGAGTAAAAATTTTCATAAAGAGAAGCAACATGATTAAGCTGCAAATTCTGTTACCCATACAAAGATTATTTTTTTAAAAAAATTATCTTCTCTGTAAGTATCAAATATGCCACATGCATTTAATTAATGTTCCTTTGTGGGGAAAGAGAGATCAGACTATTACTGTGTCTATGTAGAAAGAAGTAGACATAAGAGACTCCATTTTGTTCTGTACTAAGAAAAATTCTTCTGCCTTGAGATGCTGTTAATCTGTAACCCTACCCCCAACCCTGTGCTCGCAGAAACATGTGCTGTGTCCACTAAAGGTTTAATGGATTTAGGGCTATGCAGGATGTGCTTTGTTAAACAAATGCTTGAAGGCAGCATGCTTGTTTAAAGTCATCACCACTCCCTAATCTCAAGTACCCAGGGACACAAAACACTGAGGAAGGCCGCAGGGACCTCTGCCTAGGAAAGACAGGTATTGTCCAAGGTTTCTCCCCAGGTGATAGTCTGACATACGGCCTCATGGGAAGGGAAAGACCTGACCATCCCCCAACCTGACACCCGTAAAGGGTCTGTGCTGAGGAGGATTAGTAAAAGAGGAAGGCCTCTTTGCAGTTGAGATAAGAGGAAGGCATCTGTCTCCTGCTTGTCCCTGGGCAATGGAATGTCTTGGTGTAAAACCCGATTGTATATTCCATCTACTGAGACAGGAGAAAACCGCCTTAGGGCTGGAGGCAGGACACACTGGCGGCAATACTGCTCTTTAATGCATTGAGATGTTTATGTAAGTGCACATCCAAGCACAGTACCTTTTTCTTAACCTTGTTTATGACACAGAGTCATTTGTTCACATGTTTTCCTGCTGACCCTCTCCCCACTATTACCCTATTGTCCTGCCACATCCCCCTCTCCAAGATAGTAGAAAAAATGATCAATAAATACTGAAGAAACTCAGAGACCGGTGCCGGCGCGGGTCCTCCATATTCTGAGCATGGGTCCCCTGGGCCCACTTTTCTTTCTCTATACTTTGTCTTTGTGTCTCTTTCTTTTCTCAGTCTCTCATCCCACCCGACGAGAAACACCCACAGGTGTGGAGGGGCAGGCCACCCCTTCATTCCCTCCATTTAATTAAGTTAAAGAATGAACAGTTTATTAGGGAAACACAGATATTGAGGCAGTTCTATTTTCTCTGAGACATTGGCAATAGAAATATGGAACAGCCTTTTCCCCCATTTTTCTATCCACTCCTCTGAATAAACTGTTACTAAACATTAGATAACTTTTCAAAGGAAGATGCCTGCTGTGTCTTTTTTTTTTTTTTTGATAAAAAAAAAGAGAGCCTTCCTAAGATTCCTCAGAATGTAGCAACTGAAAAAACTATATATAGGAGTAAATAGATTTCAAATCATTAACGAAACACCTAGGCTCAAACATAAAGAACATTGTGTTCTGAAAGAATCCAGAAAAGGAAAACTTTTTATATACCAGTAATTTTCTCTTATTTCATTTTTAAAAAGATTTCTATATACTTGTAAAACAGCTTAAATTACAACCTCATATGTGAAATATGATGAGGATAGGTGTGAGATATAAAATATATTCTGAATTATTTTTTGAAATCCTCATAGGGTATTTAAAGATGATAACTAGTATATATTAAATATTAGAAACAAAATAGAAATCAGAAGATCTAATTGGACTCAAGCAGCTCTTTTAATTTTTCATGCTCCATTTAATAAAAATAACCTGCCTCTAGTGAAGAAAAACTCTACTAAAAAATTAATTGTTCACTGGAAATGAATGGTAATAATGTCTATCACTGAACATGCACACACACATACATAAACACACTGGATGATAAGATAAGTATTAGTGAGTTGTATATAACAACTCTCAAAGAAGGATATTTTCTATCATCTTATTTTTTTCTGTTTTCTCTTTGATTTACATCTCCAGTATATGTCATAAAGAATTCTTTACATTATAAATTACTTGTTATGTCTTTTCTTAGAAACAAAATGCTGGCTGGGTGCAGTTGCTCACTCCTGTAAAGTCAGCATTTTGGGAGGCTGAGGTAGATGGATCACTTGAATTCACGAGTTCGAGACCAGCCTAGCCAACATGGTGAAACACCATCTCTACTAAAAAATACAAAAAGTAGAGGCGTGGTGGCGCATCTGTAATCCTAGCTACTTAGGAGGCTGAGGCAGGAGAATCACTTGAACCTGGGTGGCAGAGGTTGCAGTGAGTCAAGATCATGCCACTGCACTCCAGCTGGGAGAGAGAGACTCCATCTCAAAAAAAAAAAAGTTAATTAAAAATATAATCCATTTTAAGTTTCTCAAAATAGGTAAGGTTTTGTTGCGAGCAGTGAAAATGGATTTTATTAATTCCATTCTTTAGTATATGTAACAAGTTATACTTCAACAGCCTTGAATTCTCACATGAGAAAAAGGAAAAATGTATTTGCCATTTTGGTAAGTTTCACTTAGAATCAAATTTTTAATGAAAATTTCCCACCCAAATAATGATTTCTTGATTTCAGGTAGCTTTTAACTAATTTTGCTTAATGTATTTCAGAGGTGCACAATATAAATACATTATTGGCCATTTATAGTTATTAGTAACCCATCAAGATGTATTCTCTTATAATTTAAATCAACTTTAATATAACAACTAACATTTGCACAGCATTTCAACAGTTACCAAGTCGTATTTTGACTTCTCATATATTTTATTTCACTTCTCATATCTCCTTGAAGTAAGGGTTCTTCATTTTATTTATTTGTAGTTGAGGAAACAAACAATCCAAAAAAACTCATAATAACTTGCACAAGATCATGTGACCAGGATGTCAAAATCAGACCTTTGACTGTTTCTTCCATTATAACATGCTGTTACATATTTGGTATAAGAAATTAAGCTCACATTATAATTTGAGATGATTAATTTGTTGACTGGGTTTACTGATGCCTTCATTCACTCCTTCAACAAATATTTGGTAAGCACTTACCACAAATGTGCTTAGCATTATGCTAGGAGCAATGATACAATGATAAAGATTATATCAGCCAGGTGCGGTGGCTCAAGCCTGTAATCCCAGCACTTTGGGAGGCTTAAGACAATTTGTTCCAGCTCAAATCCCACCTCATTTCTGCTGCATTTGGCACCCTACCCATAACAGCATTTACTTAAAACTCACTACACATCCAGAACTACTATAAATGATTTCACAAAAGCTTTTTTAAATTTTAAAATTAAAATGTATTTTATTTGTATACTATTTGTTTCACATTTTACAGATGAGGAAACTAAAGAACAAAATGCTTAAGTAATTTGTAAAAGTTATTGTATCAAATAAAAGCAAAATACCACAAAAATTTGAAATAACAAAAAGCAAAAGAAGACCACAATCCAGGCAATTTGATTCTTAAATCTCTGCTCTTAATCTTTACATCAGTTTATGTTCTTTTTCTACCTGATATTGAGTGTTATCTGTCCATTTGTTTGGATTTTGAAAATACTAATCAATTCCTTAATGCAGAAAAATATTTTATTTAAAGTTAAATGAATACCAAATTGACTTTAGTGTTTCATCAATTTATTTTTATTGGGATTCTTAAATGGGCAGTGACATGATAAGTTAAAAATGTTAGCCAAACACAGTGATTATTTCACCAAAAAGTTAGGAGCAATTAGGATTTGATCAAATTACATAACCTGTGAATCTGTTTTCTTAAATGAGGAATGAAAGTTCAATACCTGCTCCAGTGGGGACTTATGATTCTTGGCTAATCAAAATCCTTTTACTACAATCATATGATTTCAATGTGTCTTGATTTTATGAATCTTAGAATCCTAAGGTAAAATATAAAATAATGATGTAACATTAAAGAAATAGAAATAGCATTCAGCTTTCCTTGCAACTAATCTAAGTTCTATTAAACACATGCATTCATACAAGACATTGATTTGAAAAAGAGCTATTGATGGAATATGCATCCATTGTGCTAGCAGAGACGGTGGTGGAGGCAACCTGGTCCTGAGGTCCTCAGCAGAAGTTAACTTATTAGTTAGGTCCCACCAAGCTTGAGTGTTTTCCTGCAGGCTTACCCTTGCCTAAAATTCTGGGAGCCTTCTAAAACTCTTTCATGAATCTGTTCCTGGTACTGCAGATAGAGTGGATTCTGTAATTTTCAACTCAGATGATCAACACACCTAGTTTTCAAAACAAGCAAGGTATAATATAAAGCACTTACTACAATTGCAGCAAATGAGGGTTGTTCAGCAAATGGTGGCTCTTGATATCCAAATGTAAATCTCTGCTTCTGTGTTATAACAAATATCTAGCAATCCTGTGTTAGGTAATAACACTGTTTATGAATGATTTTAGCCATACTTGAAGTATCCTCTTGATTTTTGTTTTCCCCAGATAATATATAGAGTCCATTTTAGATAGACCTAGAGTTCAATATCTATTTTTTAAAAATAGCAAATTTTGGAATACTTAATAAATAGGTTTTCAAACTCATTAATGGCTTTAGCCTAGATTGTATTAAATTTTGCACAATTTTTAATGTTACAAGTCTCATATACATGTGAAAAATCATTCTTTCTCCAAGAAAGTAAATCATATATAATGATCTTAAAAGCAATGGCATGAATTAAGAGGATTTTGACTTATTATGACATTGATATTCTAGCTGAAGTTGTCAGAACCAATTGATAAAAAGGCTTCAAAAATATTGATGGCATTGGCATGTGAATATAGTCCTATATGACTCAAGTGATTTTTACCTAGAGTTGTCTAAAAGACCTTCATGTATTTAGTTCTTTTTATGAAGCAGTTATGAGTATCTATCTCTTGAAAAATTCCTCTAGAAACAGCAAAACATTTTTTTTTCAGAAACAGAGTGCTAATTAAGAAAAAAAAATCACATGAAGAAACCAGGGTTGTCAATTTACATCCACATATCTTAGAGATGAAAGGTTGCATTAATAGAAACGTCTCTTTTCCCTCAGGAGTTGGGCGATAGATCATACAGCAGACAAAAAACATAGGAAAACTGAGGTCCAGAAAGCCCCTAATGATGGCAGGGAATCTTTATGTGATTTGTCCTCTGCGAGTGAGGATGGGATGGTTCAAAGGAGAAGTATGTCTTCTCTTCCTCCTCCTCCTCCTTCTTTTGTTTAGGTTTGTGATTCCAACAATACATTTATATAAAATAAATAAAAACACATGAAATAGTGTCTAGGATAATTGACATATTTCCTAGATTCTGCAGATTGGAGAATTATGGAAGAAAATATTAAATAATTGCATAAAATGTTTTCTTAGTTTCTTCCTCAGACTTTTATCATTATTTTTATTGACTAGATATGGAAATAAATGAAGTTTCAAAGTGTCGTTCTTTAAAAATAATACAAGGAACTACGCTTGGAAGCTTTAATGGCAAAGCAGTTTTTTAAAAAATATTTATTCAATTATTTATTCCATATAAACTATGTGCCATGCAATGTGCTAGGCAGTGAGAGTTGGGGCAAAGAAGACAGGTGTCAAATAAATAAGCATAAATAAATAAGCATACAACTTTTTGTGGCATTAAGAACGCTTATTGAAATTGTTCAAAAACTTCAAAATGCTTTCCTGTTTTTCTCCTAAGAACGTCAGTCATAATCAATAGGACGATCTCTTCTGTGGTATAATACTTTATTGGTTTTCAATAAGTATCTGCCCATCACTTTGCTCTTCCCTTGTGCTATGCTGCCTACATGAACATGTTTGCTGTTGGTGATTCTGGGTTTGTTGTCGTTGTTTTTCTATTTGGTGCTTTTATTATTTTTAGTTTTAGTTTTCGTTTTCATTTATTAATTGACATAATAATTGTACATAGTAATGTTGTGACACATATAACATATAGTGATCAGATCAGGGTTATTAGCATATCCATCATCTCAAACATTTATCATTTCTTTGTGTTGGGAAAATTCAATGTCTTTCTAGCTATTTGGAGCTATATATTTTTGTTAGCTATAGTCATTCTACAGTGTTATAGAACACCAGAACTTATTCCTCCTATCTATCTGTAATATTGTATCATTCAACAAATTCCTCCCTATATCCTCCACCCCACCTCCACTTCCTCCTACCCTTCCTAGCCTCTAATATCGTTCATTCTATTTCACAGATGTAACTGATGATGTTTTGTGCCGCATGATCCCATTTTATTGGAGTGAGGACGTCTTATACAAGGGCAGACCCTTTATGAGATAGCCAAGTTACTTGTAAATAGGAATTGGGAAACTTGAAGCAAATGGGTAGAAATTGAAATTAAAAGAAAACAAGTCAAGGAAAAGTAAGGACATAAAGAAAATGTATAAGGTAAGATTATGAGAAAGAAATGATGAAACTTACTGGAAGGGAAAAGAGGGAATGCAAATTCAAAGAGAAACAGAAATGCCATTGGAGAAAGACCATGGAAATAAGAAGACAGAATGGAAAAACTGCCTCTTCACATCTACCTCAATTCCCAGTGACTTCAGCTACCGTCATTGGGAATCCTCATGATAATTATTCTTCTAACCCTTGCTTTTAAAGTAGCTTGGAAAATATCCTTGTTCCTTTTAACATGAAGATCATAATGAAATCAGTTCTATAAATTTTCTAGAAATTTTCTCCCATATAGAATCTTGTCATTATTCCTACTTATTATATCAAAAAAGAGGCAAATGGAGGCTAGCTGAGGTATAAGATACGTTTAGCAACACAGCAAGAATTAAAATATTAGCTTCTGTTTCTTGCCAATTCTCCTTTAGGGAGGCATATTTAGTTGAAAGATATGCTTAGAACCATTTTAATGCCTGACAAGAGCTCTTTATCTTTCTAGTTGTTTGGGTAATGTTACATTAATTCAGAACAACTACAACTTGTTGTCTAAGATAACCCATGGTGTTATTCTAAATAAATAAAAACTCTGCATTAGTAATATATGTACTACCTTAGAACTAAACAATAATCCACATTACACTCAGCTACAATCTATTCCCTGAGGGTGTTCTTTATTTGGCATAATGATAACTATTTGCAAACAAAGGTAAAAGCTATACTTTCTTTTTTGCAATAATAACCTACTTAATTTTGCTTGCTGAATTAACAATTATTTGAATGAAGTAAAATTTGTTTAAATACAGTATTGATGTGGCCGGGCACAGTGGCTCATGCCTGTAATCCCAGCACTTTGGGAGGCCGAGGCGGGTGGATCACAAGATCAGGAGATCGAGACCATCCTGGCTAACATGGTGAAACCCCGTCTCTACTAAAAAAAAAAAAATACAAAAAATTAGCTGGGCGTGGTGGCGGGCGCCTGTAGTCCCAGCTACTCAGGAGGCTGAGGCAGGAGAATGGCATGAACCCGGGAGGCGGAGCTTGCAGTGAGCAGAGATCTTGCCACTGCACTCCAGTCTGGGTGACTGAGCCAGACTCTGTCTCAAAAAAACACAAAACAAAACAAAACAAAGCAAAACAAAAGAAAACAAAAAACAGTATTGATGTTAAGCAATGCAGAGTTTTTAGAAACCCAGTCACTCTCTTTTGAATCCTTAGGGTTTATTTACTAAATTCATCCATGAATTCATTTTTTTTTCTGGAGTCGCCAATATACTTCAATATGGTATTTGGTGGTGGTAATACTGAGTTGTCTGAAATAACCAATAAACAATGAAGAGGTTTTCAACATGCAAAAGCCTTAGTGCTTGTCAATTTTGACACTAGAATTTGTTGTGAATCTAGGTCTTATTTGATTCATATGTAACGTTAATCCAGTTGAACTTGACGTGATAATAAATCATGTTTGTTGCCTATTTGTTTCTAGTAGGGGCCCTTTTTATTTCTTAGGAAATGTTTAGAATTTTTTGCATTGTCCTTGGTATTTTTAAACTCAATCAGAATGTATGGCTTGATTTTTGTTCATGTTTCTTAGCATTTACTGATCATATTTAATATAATATGTAGTCTTCAGTTCAGGGAAAGTTTTTTCTATTATATCTTTAGTAATTTTTTTTCCTTAATTTTAAATTATTGAAATATTATTCCATTTTATAATTACTAAAAATATTCTTCCATTGTATAATTCATATCATACAGATGGCAGATGGATCACTTGGACTTCCCTCCATAAAATTATGTCTTTATGGGAGAAAACTTTACATTTTCTTCCAGATCACTACATTGGTATTAAACAATGTACATTATATTTTTGTGCATTTTTGCTTTGAAATAAAGAATTTTAAAAGTTTAAACTACAGAAGTTTAAACTTCCATTTGTCAGAAACTTTTTCTTGTTTTCTGATTTGTGTGTGTGTATGTGTGTGTGTTGTTATTTTACAGATGAAATATCCTGCTGAGTATCTAGTATACCTTCCAATTTATTAGAATTTTTTAAAAAATCATTCTAGTTTCTGAATATTTTAAATATTTTCATTGTGACAAGTTACTAGATATTTTTATCTTGGGACTTTCATGACATCAGCTTTCCTTAGATATCTTTGATATCTTCTGGCAGTTCATATCCATGAGGATAGGATTAACTGTTATTATTTTAGGATGTTAGCGTGAGAACAATCTAATTATACAACCAAAAATACTTTTACACTGATTTACATTTTTAAAATTTATTTTTATTTTAAACTGCTGCATAGTATTTGTACATATGTGTGATGCGCATATAACATTTTGATACATTCATAGAATGTATAAAGATCAAATCAGAGTATTTAGTATATCCATCACCTCAAACACACATTATTTTGTTATTATTGGAAAGTTTCATACCTTGAATAATTTTTTTCTTCATACTCTTCTACACCAAGCACACCCTACCCCAGAGCCTTTGGATATTCTCCTTCCCTCATTGGGATGTCTGTAACTGATCCAATAGGTTTCTGCTGAAATTTAATTTATTTGGTGAAAATTTTCTGAACCTTTATTCTAAATTAAGTCCCCCCTCTGACTTTTAGGGCACCCTCCACATTTCTCTCGACTCTTCATATTTTAATTGTTTACTCAGTGCAAATCTTCTTTAGTGGGCCCAGGGTGAGTACTGTTCCAATATTGTTCATTCTTACATTCTCACAGACTGTTGCATGTTGCTAACACACATATAAGTTCAATAACTGAATAACTTAGTAAATTATAACCCATCTATATTAGCAACATATACATCAGACAGTGCCAGAAATACAAAGTTATTGCTATTACATAGCAACATCAAATTTAATCTCTAAGACTCTCTTATATACCAGAAATCATATTTTTTAAAACTAAGCTTCATGAGACCGTGAATTTTTTTCTCTTATGTTTACTCTATATTCCCAGCACTTAGAAGAGTGCCTAAGACATAGTATGTATCCAGTGTAATTGTTGAGAAGGCACTCAGTTGATCTAAAAACACTTTATTTACCAGCACAAATTTTTTGGTACTCATTTATGCTTTAAAATGACTGGATGCTTATATAGGCTGGTGCCGCTTGTTATCTAACACATAAATATAAAAGAAAAACTCACTTTATGATTGTTAAGGAAGTATTTTTTTAGGTTGATTCCTGGTATAAGAGATCATAAAATTGTTTTCAGTGAAGCAAGTTGTCCTATATTTAAATCTTATCAGAAAGGTATCATAATATCATAGCCTTAGTCTATCTCATAAATAAAACTAGACAAGACAAAGGAAGAAAGGGAAGTAAACGTGTGTGTGTGTGTGTGTATATATATAATATATATTGTATATATATAATATATATTATATATATATATAAAATCCATAACTTTCAACTAACAGTTTCAGTCTTTATAATATTTATATGAAGTTTCTAGTCTGAAAAAATTCTCCTAACATTTTCATTTTTTACTGATTTTTGGGGGGAGATAGGAAAAAAATTTAGATACAGGGCAATTATAGATAAAATGAAAAATTAACATATAATGTAAAGAACTTAATTTCCTCTTATGTAAATTCATATTTATGATCACATTAACTGACTTCGTGATCTGATTGTCTCAAATTTAAGAAGTATTTGATGTACATCTACTTCCAGTGTCTGTTTTTCTTAAAACTGGCAATAACTAAAGTCACTAAAATTTCTTCAGCTTCAGATAACTAGACTCAACTCATCAGAGTTTACACTATTCAAAGTCTTATTTTCCCTGGGCATCCAGCATTTCTAAAACAAATGGGGAACTTCTTAGTATAATCATTTTTTTTAAATGAACACTCAATATAATGATAGGCAAATAAGTTATTAAGGGTAGAAACTCTTTTTATGAAGAAAAAAATTCTTGATTTTTCATATTCCAGTCACTTCAGGAGAGTAAAAACAAACAAAAAACACCTTAGATTTATTCCAATCTGTGGCACAAGCATCCAAGGTTCACCCAGCTCTGTGTTGTGCTGTCTAGATTTACAGTTAGCTATTTGACTTCGATTTAAAGTTCCCTCAGAACAGAATATGGGAAAAAGTCCCTGATGATAAAGTTATTGCAACTTGAACTTCACCTGGAAGGACTTTCTATATTGTGTTTCTGTTGCTTAATTTTGCCACCATCACTCCTTCCACTCTGAGAAGCTGACAAGCAACTAAGGAAAAGAAAAGGACTGAATAGCTCCATTTATCTTGTGCTACCAGCCCAGAGTTGCAATGCGATGATAAATGGACAGCAGTAAATCTGTTATGGACAAAAAGCACTGGCACATGGGTGTATTTTCTGTTCATCTTAGAACCAAAGAAGAGGTGGAGAAACAACAGTATTGACAACAACAAGACAATCAGATCAGAGAAAACTCTGATCCAAGCCGAGAAATGATAGCCACACAGCTGTCTTTCCCATAAGGTATGTGGGAAAAGATCATCTTCAACAGTCATTCTTTTAATACATAAAACCTTTTTTTGTTGTGGAAAAAACAGTTAATCTTTAGAGACGGGCTTTGTATATCTAAGCTCTAAAACAAATCTTGGTTTGAGGAAATATTAAGCTCTAAATAATATATGCTGTTTACTAATAGTATTTTTAATTCCTTTATGTAGCATACATACTATTGAGTGATAGCTCAATAAAACCGTAATCTAAATGAGCAGTTTCTGCTAGACTAAATAAATCCATCCTAAAAGAATTTTTATGCCATTGTAAAATTTAATGCTGGTTTAGGCTTGTGTTTCAAAATTCAGAAATAAATCCATAATGCCTTATATATTAATTGACCTTAGTCATCACAAGTTATTCAATTACAGTTGACCTTTGAGCAACACAGGTTTGAACTGCTTGGGTCCATTTAAACGTGGAGTTTTTTTCAACCAAATGTGGTACTCGGTGTTCATAGGATACAATCTGTGTACACAGAGGGACAATTTTCATATATGTGGATTCTGTAGGGTTGACTGCAGGACTTGCAGATAAGTAGACTCAACTCATTGGAGTTCACTCTTTCCAAAGATTTCCTTTCCCTTTCCCCCATATCCCACCCACTGAGTTCTGTTAGTTTTATCTCATGAAAACTTTCAAATTTGTGCACTTGTTGCCATCTCTCCCCACCCATGTAAGCTGAAGCTCTTACCTGTCTTGCCCAAACTTCTCTAAAGTCTTCTGAATGGTCTTGCACACCTCACATCTTTTTCCACTTAAAACTTGAGTTGTTTCTTTTAGGAGAAAGACCCTAAATGCACAGATTTTGGCAAACACGGGAGTCCTGCAAAAAAATCCCCTGCGTATAGTGTAGGACAATTGAATTCAAGATTGAATTCCATCATGAATGAATGCCTATCTAAACATCACACTGTATGTTCCATGATTTCACTCCATTCCTAATCTCCCCTGCTTTAAAATATGGTGTGCTATTATAATAGGAACTCTCAGAATGACATTAGCAAATTCCTCTATAAAGTCAAGACTCTGAAAGTCCCTTCATTTTTATGGAGAAACTAATACTTCTTCCCTCTCCCTCCTGCTCCCCACAGAAAAGTACTTCCTTGGAGTTCTCTCAAATAGAAAACAGTTCTGGTCCCACAACTCATCTAATTTAGACTTCAAAATAGGTATCTATCTTCCTTGCTCCTCATTTCCTATTTCTGACTTTGTACTTCAAATACCTCATAAGGAAATTTCCCCATATCAATTTTTTTGCAAATCATACAGATTATCTAGGTAGCAAAGCACACATATAAAGAAACACACACATACACACACATTTATAATAAAATTAGATTCTATGGTCTGAATGTTTTTGTTTCTCCAAAATTCATATATTGAAGTCTAACCCCCAATGTGAGATTGGAGGTGGGACTTTTGGGAGGTGATTAGGTCATGAGGGTAAAGTCCACATGAAGGGGTATAGTGCCCTTATAAGAGAGGCCTCAGAGAGAGCCCTCACAGTTTCCATCATGTGAGATTATAGCAAAAACACCACTGACTATGAATCAGGATGGGACCTCTCACTAGACATGGAATCCGTCCATACCTTGATTTTGGACTTCCCAACCTCCAGAGCTATGCAAAATAAATTTATGTTGTTTAAAAGCCACCTAGTCTATAGTAATTCATTATAACAGCTGGAATGCACTAAGACCCTAAGTGAGAGGGTATCCTCACAAAACCCAAATTATAAACTGATGGGTATAAACCCTAAGAGCTGGGATACCTGCATATTATCAACATCATTTTGGCAAGAAGCAGAGAGGAAAATACTGTATCTGATTTACCCGATAAAAGAAAAACATCTCTCATGTTCATCAATGGATAAAAAATGTGTTATATATACATAATGGAATACTATTCAGCCATAAAAATAAAGAAAATCCTGTCATATGTGAAAATATAGATGAACCTGGAGGATGTTATGTTGAATGAAATATGCCAGGCACAGAAAGACAAATACCACACAATACCACTTATATATGGAATCAAAAATAGTTGATCTCATAAAAGCAGAAAGTAGAATGGTAGTTACCAGGGACTGGGTGCTTGAGGGAGATTAGGAGGATGTTAGTCAAAGGATATAAAATTTCAGTTAGATGGGAGAGGTAAATTCATGAGATCTATTGTTCAACATGATGATAATAGTTTGCAATATACTGTATTCTTGAATAATGCTAAGGGAGTAGATATTAAGTGTTCTCACAAAATGATAACTATGTGAGGTAATGCCTATGCTAATTTGCAAGATTTAGTCATTCCACATTGCATGTATGTTTCAAAGTAACATGCTGTGTGTGATAAATACGTACAATTTTATCTGTCAATTAATAAAAAACTATGAAGAGTCTGAGATTTTACTTGCAAGCTAACATGTTACCATATTGACATTTTTCATGGAGGCTGGAAATAGACATGACATTGCTGGGTTAGACAAAGGGGACATAAAATCGACATATTGCTTTATTTCTTTTTGCCCCCCACCCCTTTCAGCAGGATGGTGCCTGCACATGGTGAGTTGCATTATAGGGAAAACCTGTGATCAATGAAAACTTGCATTTCTTATGATGGGCAGAAAACATGCTTGTTTTTTGCTCCTTAGGGAGGCACCTATATCTGTCTTCCAAGACTGTTTACTCTATATAGGCTTTTGAAAAGAGCCTGAAAAAGAGAACATTCAGTGTGTGCAGAATTGCGAGATACTCATAGAATATTTTCTAACATACTAAAATGTTCAGAGTAAAAAAAATACCTAAAATCAGCAATAATTAAATTTATTTTCAAACTTCTCCATAGAATCATTAGATGTTATAAGACCATGGAATTATGGAGTAAATTAGATACTAAGATATCAAGGAAAAAGTGCTTTAAACACATAATGTCATGGTCATTTTAGAGACTTACTGATGCAAAATCAACATAAGAGAAAACGAACAAATGTTAAGTAAATAATTAAGTAATTTTTGGCATATGTAAACATCCTCAAAATAATCACCACCATTCATGTTGTGAAAATGTCAATCATTTCAAAAAAGTTTTATCCTATAGCTGTTTTTATTTTGTGGATATTTTCTCTTATTTGTATTATATCCTTTCTTCTGCTTACTTTGGTTTTCCTTCACATTTGTTTTCTAGTTCATTAAAGTTGAATGTATGGTCATTAACTTGAGGCCTTATAACTTTTTATTACAGTGCTATAAATTTTTCCTTTAGTACTGCATTAACTAATCCCTACAAATTGTGAGGCTGTGTTTTCATTTTCTTTTAGTTCAAAATACAGAAAAATATCCTAAATTCGACTTTCATTTCTCCTGTAATCCATGAGTCATTGTATTGTTTAGCTTTTATATATATATTTGAGTTTTCTTAGATATTATATTACTGTTGAATTTATAATTTAATTCCACTAAATTTATAATTTAATTCCATGCTTTATACATTTTGAATCCTTTTAAATTTGGTAAGACTTGTTTAACAGCCCAGAATGCAGTCAAGTTTGGGTAATATTCTGTATACAATTGAAAAGAATGCTCATTCTGCTGTTGTTGCGTGGAGTGTTCTCTAAATATCAATTAGATCAGGATGGGTAGTAGTGTTCGTGTCTTCTACATCCTCACTGCATTTCAGTTTTCTTCCTTATTAGTTATTGCAAAAGGGATATACAATATCTGGATAATAGTAGACACATATTTGTCCTTAATGTTCTAGCAATTTCTGATACATTTATTTTGATCCTCTGTTATTAGGTGCATAAAAGTTTATAATTACAATATACTTTTGATGAATTAAACCCTTCGTGTTTACAAAATGACACTCTTTATCTTGGTAATATTCTTTGCTTAGAAATTGGCTTTGTCTGATATTATTATTTCTCTCCCAGGTCTCTCTGATTAGTTTGAAATGGCATATTTTTCATCTGTTTGTGTTTAAGCAATATGTGTCTATTTTAAATGCTTTTTTAGGCTCCATATAGTTGAGTTTTCCTTTTTTATGTACTCTAGTAATCTCTAAGTTTTAATTGGAGTGTTAAGAGCATTTACATTGGATGTGATTATTAATAGTTTTTTGTTTTAAAATCCCATATTACTATTTGTTTTCTAGTTTGCTTTTGTTATTTTTCTGCTTTCCTTTGAATTTGAGTATATTTTATGATTCAATTTTGTCTATTTCATTAAATTATTACCTATATCTCTTTACAATATTTTCTAGCGGTTACTTTATGTATTATTGTGTATAACTTTAAATTTTCTCAGTCTACTTTCAAGAAATATTAAGCCACTTTACCTATAAATATAAAATCATGATATTATACTTGCATGTTTTACTTTTTGATTTTCATTCTGTTGTTTACATTTTACATTGACATATAAAGCTCACATTATTGGTTATTTTTTTGCATTAAACAGTCCATTACATTTTTATTTAAAGGCTTTATTTTTATAATGGTTTAAAATTTAAAGAAAAAAATGAGCAGATAGTAAAGATCATTCTCATACATCTCTAAAACCCGTGCATACAACTTTCCTTATTATTAATATCTTGAATTAATATGGTAGATTTATTACAACTCAGGAAACAATATTGGCACATTATCATTAACTAAGGTCAATATTTATATTTTTTTTAATTTTTACTGGATGGCCTTTTTTGTGTGTGCTGGAATCCCATCCAGGGTACCACACTATATTTCCTTGTAATGTTTATAAATGGCTGTAGTAGCCTGTCAGGCTTTCTTGTTTTTGATGACCTTGACAGTTCTGAGGAGTACTCAACAGCTATATTGTAGGATCACTCTTTATTAAAATTGTATGATTTTTTTCCATGATTATACTAGGGCTACTGGCTATTGAAAAGAAGGCAAAAGATATAAAATGCTGTTTCCATCGTAATCAACGTGACTTATGACTGTATATGTTGAACTTGATTGCTAGGCTGAAGTAGTGTTTGTCAGGTTTCTCCACTGTATGTTTCTCTCTATACTCCTACTACTCCCAACACGCACATACTGTATCCTTATAAAGGAAGTCATTATGCAAAGCACACATTAAGGAGTAGAATAATCTTTTCAAGAAGTTTAGATAGTAAGTAAAATTGTTTTGCATATTTTCCCCACATATTTACCAGTGTAGATCTACATTTTCATTTTACATTATTTTTTTACAGACTAGAGGATCTTGTTAACGTTTCTTGTAAAACAGGATCTGACTGTGATAAGTTATTTAAGTTTTTGTACTTCATTAACAACTTTTACTTTATTTTAATTCAGTATGGAAGTCTAGGTTTTTTTTTTCTTTCACTATCTTAAAGATATTGTTTCACTATTTTCTAGCTTGCATTGTTTCTGATAAAAGCTCTGCTGTTGAAATTACCTTCATTTATTGTACCTAATGCACCTTTTTTTCTTTGTCAACTTTTAAAGATTCTCTTTATCACTGTTTTTTAGCCATTTGACTGTAATAGGCTTTGGTGTTACTTCCTTTATGCATATCGTGGTTGGTGTTTTTGGTGCTGCTTTTCAGTTGTACTAAACTATTTGTGCATTTATAGATTTTACTAAATTTGGATGCTTTTCTGCCATTATTTATTCCTCTACACGGAGGACTACAATGACATAACATTAGGCCACATGAATTTCCCACAGATCACTGATCTTTTTCAGTTTTTTCTATTTTTTTCCTATCTTTAATTTTGGTTAATTACTATTGTTATGTCTTCAAGTTCACTAAGATTTTCCATGCCATTCTCTAATATACTGTTAATAACATTCATTGTATTTTAAATTATAGTAATAATTTTTTATCTTTAGATTTTTGATTAGTGTTTGCTTTATATTCTACATGTCTCTAATTAACATGTTCATGTTTACAATCTTGTAGAGGTAAAAATTATTATAATAACTCATTCACCATCTTCATCTATTAATTACATCATATGCCATTTCCAGGTCAGTATCTATTGACTGGATTTCTTCCTATTTTCTTGATTTTTGTATGCCTGGTAGGTTGAGATGCGCCCTATGTAAGCTTTATAGATGGTTTTCTCTCATGTGTGTAATGGTTGTGTGGTGATCTTCTGGAAAACCAAGAGAATTTCTTTGCACACATCCAGTGTTCTTGTTCTGAGCTTATTTCTCCCCGTTTGTACTATGCCCTGAAAACTATCACTGGTAGCTAGCTTGGGTATCCAGTCTCCCAGCTCCATGTTTTTAACTTTTGGAGATCACCTGGCTTTGCCTGAATTCTCCCACCACACACTGTGGCCTGGAAACTTTCTAGCCGTTAAACCTGGGATATCATAAGGCTTATCTGTTTTGTTTTCTATATCTGAGACTTCACTATATTTTCCTGATATTCCAACTTAAACATAAGTGGAAGTCCTCAGATAAAATTGAGTACTAGAGATTGACAGGGATAGTATATGATGATAACAGACTCATTAAAAATAAAGAATTTAAATATGTATATAACTATATATTTTCCCCATTTGCCTGAAATATGATACCAAGATAGGTATTTTATTTTATTTTTTAAATTTCTTTTGTTTGTTTGTTTTTTGAGACAGAGTCTCGCTCTTTCACCCAGCCTGGAGTGCAGTGGCAGATCTCTGCTCTCTGCAGCCTCTGACTCCTAGGTTCAAACAATTCTCATGCCTCAGCCTCCTGAGTAGCTGGGATTACAGGCACCCACCACCACGTCTGGCTAATTTTTTGTATTTTTAGTAGAGATCGGGTTTCATCATGTTGGCCAGGCTGGTCTCGAACTCCTGGCCTCAAGTTATCCACCTGCCTCAGCCTCCCAAAGCACTGGGATTACTGGCATGAACCACTGCGCCCAGCAGCATTTTATTTCTTAGTTACAGCAAAAGCAGTATTCAAAATGGTCACATAACTTTTTACTGTTTCTATCATTTCAATATTATATATAATAATACTATTAGTACATAGTAAATATGTTTTTGTTATTCAATTTGTTAGATATACATATTATAGAAACTTAGAAAATTAATGTTAGATATTTAAGGTTTTGTAGTACAGTATAATATTTTTGGCAAACTGATATGTAAGTAAGGAAATATCAGGTTTTAAGATTCAAATTGATTTTCATCTATATCCTTAACACCACATTGGTTGTTCTCTCCCTATATTCAAAAATTTTTCATATTTTCATTTCAAAAGTAAATTTAACCTTGCTTCCAACTCAAAAATGCTATTCTGGAAGCAAAAATATGATTATGGTGTCCAAATCACTTGTGTGTATTGTATGTAAGGAATCAAAAACCACACAATAGTCATCAAAAATTAATTTTAGAATTTTATTAAATATTGTTTGAGAAAACAGGAGTGGTAAGCACTTCTGTGAAGGAAGTTTGACAACAGCAGGATAAAAGAAGACAAGTCATAGAAAAAGCTGAGAAATGATAGCCTAACATTGTAATAATAACAATCAATAATAATGACTATTGTTTTTAATGCTTACTATGAATTATAAAATCACCTCATGAGGTAGGTACTACTACTTATCACTATTTTACTGATGGAGAAACTAAGGTACTGAGCATTTAATAACCTACTTTAAATGGCAAAGCAGAGTAAAAATCAACCTTCTGATTGGTGCTACCAGGAATATTTTTAAAACAGTTTTATTGAGATACGATCTTACACGCCAGGGCAGGAATTTCTAAGGCAAAACATGAGACTTCAATAAGATCTGGACTTGCAATGAGTGCTTGAGGCTGCCTCCCTCTGAGCCTTGTGATATTTACTCTTTTAGTGAAACCTTGGAAGAAACACTAATTTAGTTAAGGCTTTCAACTCTCTTATTTTAAAGATAAGAATATTGAATCCCAGAGAAGGAAACAGACTTGCCTAAAGACATGTGGAATATTCACAGCAAAGAACTAGCACTTCAGACTTCAAGTTCAGTATACTTAACCATGTCAATTATTTAATATCTTGTCCTTTATTTTTTGTTCCTCATCCTTATTAACATACAGTTTTAATGTTGTCAATAATAATGTAGATATAAATTGGAAGAATGTGAATTCTTTAAAACAGGTTTTCTTCTGTCAAGTTTTGTTATGTCAACTTTTGTTCTTTATGTTTTCTTCTTGGTTTGTATACCAATTTTTTTCTGCTTGTAGAGAATTTTTGAGCCAGAATTTATTGGAATCTGACTTCACTTTTAGATTTAATATTTTTTATTACAGTAGATTTTATTATTTAGAAAAGTTTGAGGTTTACAGAAAAATTGAAAGGTAAGTATTGGGAGTTTCCATATATCCCCTACCCCAAACATCCACAGCCTCTCCCATTGCTAACATTCTCCACCAGAACGTTGAGCCTACATTGACACACCATTATCACCCCAAGTTTACATTAGGCTTCACTCTTTATGTTGTGCATTCTGTGGGATTTGATAAATGTAAAACTACATGTATTTGCCATTATAGTATTATACAAAATAGTTTCACTGCCTTAAAAACCCTCTGTGCTCCACCTGTTCACTCCATTTTTCTCCCCATCAGCACTATTTCCTTCTCCCTAAAGTGTCATATTTAAAATGTATCGGCCGGGTGCGGTGGCTCACGCCTGTAATCCCAGTACTTTGGGAAGCGGAGGTAGGAGGATCACGAGGTAAGGAGGTTAAGACCAGCCTGATCAACATGGTGAAACCCCATCTCTGCTAAAAATACAAAAATTAGCTGGGCATAGTGGCAGGGGCTTGTAATCCCAGCTACTCGGGAGACTCAGTGAGGAGAATCGCTTGAACCCTGGAGGCAGAGGTTGCAGTGAGCTGAGATCGCGCCACTGCACTCCAGCCTGGGCAACAAGAGCGAAACTTCATCTCGAAAAAAAAAAGTTTCATTTATGGACTCAAAGTTGTATTTATAAAACAACAACAGCAAAGAAAAAGAAAAGAAACATAAAACCTTCTCTAAAACAGCCTCCTTTGCATATTTTGTAGAGAGATGAAATGATCATGTGATATTATGGCATTGGTTATATTAGAAATGAAAAGCAAGACATATCTTGATTTTTTCCTTTTCTTTATCATACCATCTCTTACAGTTTTGGTTTGAGTGGAAGAATATCAAAATGTGCCATTCTTTTCAGAAATGGAATATCTTTTTGAAAATGAAAAAGGGCCTCATATGTTCTTTCAGATGCAAGAGTCATATGACCCTCAAGAAAGACCTTCATAATATTTGATACCATCCCTTTTCTTCAGAGTCTTTCATAAATAGACACCAACCTGAATGAAACATCAAGACTCATTATCTTATCTCATAAAGTTGCTTTTGGTGATCTATTTCTCTAGATCGCTCTCATTTGTTAATGTGTTTTATTTCATACAGAGCATTGAAGGTTTAAAAGCATTCTTTTTTCACTAAGTTACATACTGGAAATGAAATGACACATTTCAGGAAGTCTTTGTAATTCAGGCAGGAAAGTTTTCAAATTACAATATCTTTTTAAATTATTAGTGTTATATCTTAATTGGGTTATATTGCCAATAAATGAGAATTCTTCATCTACTCTTTTAAAGCTGACATTAGGCAATAAAACTTCAGCTAGAGAAATTTTGAGTGGCTTTCTTAGTAGAGATAATAACAGGCTTCCCACTCAGTAATTTCTCCTTTTCAACGCTTTGTATAAAAGGTTTTTGAACAGTAATTTTGTCAGTGTGCCTTTTTCAGTAAGTGGAGAGGGGCAAACACACATGTTGAAAGTTGTGTGAGAAGAAGCAGGACGCTGTTTATTTCACCCATCTTAAGACTTCTCTTGACAACTTAAAGACTCTTGAGAGTAATAAGGAATGTCATGCAATGTTATTGAAAAATACCCATGGTAAGTGTGTAGGTGTTAGTGATAAGAAATAATAGCAATAATTAGTATTTTATTGAGATATTACATGCCAAACATTTTATATTTTTTAACTCATTTAATTCTGATGGCAACCCTGTAAGATAAAGCTATTTTCTCTCTTTTACCACAAAAGAAACTGAGATTTATTCAATCCACACATTGAGCAAGTTTCAAAGCAGGACTTAGGAGAGAAATATTTCAAAGCACTTTTTATAAATATATTGGAAGAACCAAAATAAACTATGTTTAAAAATTAAAGTATGACAATATAACTCTTCAAACAGAAATTATTAATTAAAAGACATTTTTAAAAGGACCAAATGGAGCTTTTACAGTGAAAAGTCCAATGAAAGAGGTAAAGAAATTCACCAGGGAAGCTCAACAATAGATTTGAGTTAATATCACCATTGATGGTCTTGTATGATTATTGTTTACATGGTATTTTCTTTATATGCTAATGTTTTTACATTCTCAAGCCTTTGAATCTATAATGTGTCCCTTATAGTCAGCGTATAGTTGAATCTTGCTCTTCCACCCAGTCTGATGATCTTCTGTACATTTTCTGAATTCTTTTTGTTTATAATTGGCACATAATTGTATATTATTTGTGGGGTACAGTGTGATGTTTCAATACATGCATATATTGTATAACAATCAAGTTAGAGTAGTTAGCATGTCTGTGACCTCGCACTTTTATCATTTCTTTGTGGTGATAACTTTTAAGATCTTCTTTCCTGGGTATCTTGAAATATACGATACAGTTTTATTAACTGTAGTGAATCAACAGGTACGGGTACATAGGAAAAATAAGTTCTGCTCTTTTCTACATTTTAATTAAAGTGTCTAGTCCAGTTGTACTTAATGTAATTCTTTATATAGCTACATTTAGAGCTACCATTTTACTCTTTTTATTTATTTTCATGTTTTAAATTACATTTAAAAGATATTTTCTTATGGGTTTTTCTAGTAACTAAAAAACACCTCTTAATTTATCATAGTGACTTCGTGTTAGTATTGACTTAAATCCCATTAAAAATAGAAACTTTATCCCGATATAAATACTTTCAATTCTTCCTTCATCCTTTCTGTCATTATTGCTATATATATATACATTTGTATTTAGTAGAGATGGGGTTTCACCATGTTGGCCAGGATGATCTCGATCTCTTGATCTTGTGATCTGCCCACCTCAGCCTCCCAAAGTGCTGGGATTATAGGTATAAGCCACCGCGCCCGGCCTAGTTTGTGAAATCTAGAAGTTCTCCCACCAGAAAATGCAGGTATGTTTTGGTAAGTGAGACGGGGGAAAAAATAATGACCTAAAACTTCTCAAATTCTCACCAGTTACATTGTTGTTAGACAGTAGAAACTAGGATATAAAATACAAATAAAAATTTAGCCTCCATTTTTAACTCAGGTGCTTTTACTGGTGGGGGAAGAGACAATGGCAGTTCCAGCACTTTTGGAAAAACATACAGTACAAAGGGTAATCCACACATCTTTTTATTGGCAAAAATGACATATACATATATACATTATTGTTATATATATATACACACACTATTGCTATATATATATATATATATATATATATATATATATATATATATCTCACCAAGGTTAAAATATACTGCTGTATTCTTATTCTTGTTTTACACAACCTTTCTTTTTAAAATAATTAAGAGAAGAAGAGACAAATATAAGTAATTAAGAGAAAGAGAGACAAAATATAAATAACACAGATTTTTCTTGGCTACCTATTTACAATTTCTACCACTCTTCATTTCCTGCTGTAGGTGTAACTTATTGTCTAGTGTCCATGTCTTTGATTTGGAGAGCATTCTTTATTACTGTAGGGCAGGTATACTAGCAGTGTTGTCTCGTGGCTTTCTTTCTTCTTTTTTTCTTCTGGGAATGTGGTAACATGGTTTTGAGTTTTGAAAGGTAATTTGACAGATGTAGTATAGTTGTTACAAGATTTTTTTTGTTTTCAGCAAATGAAACGTCATTCTGCTTCCCTCTAGCCACTTTTTTTTCCATTGAGAAGTCAGTTAATCATATTTACTTTCCTGTACTGATGTTTGTTTTTTTCTCATTACTTTTAAGACTTTTGTTTTTGTCTTTGGTTTTCAATACTTGGGCTATGTTGTGTCTAATTACATATCTCTTTGTAGTTATCTTTTTTGGGATTCATTGAGATTTTAAAATCTTATATTAATATTTTTAACTCAAATTTGAGAAGTTTTAGGTCACTATTTTTTCCCCTATTTCGCTTACCAAAACACGCCTGCATTTTCTGGCAGGAGAACGTCTAGATTTCACAAGCAAACCTGCCCTGGCAAAGCCCATTCTTGCCAAATGAGCTGAGTGGTGGGGACTGGGAACAATGCTGGACAAGAAATCTATAGAATTCCATTGTTCTAACTAAAATGGTTAGATTTTTTAATAAACAAATGCTTTTCAATGTATTGTCTGCTTTCCAGAGACCTAATCATTGTTTGTGAGAATTTTATCCTGTTTTACACTTATTTTTGGGGAAAAGATGTATTTATTTCTTTTTGCAATCAAATCCAGAAGGCAGAGGCTTTTCTCTTATTTTTATTTTTTAAATGTCTCTCTCTACATCTTACATAATTATACACAGATCACATTTTTTACATTATAATAAGAATAAAAAGCAGATATTTCCTAAACATGATTTTTATTTCATTTTGAACATTATTTCCATAATTATTCCCTACCTTTTAATTTGCACCTTCTATTATGTCTCAGTAATTCATTTTTAAAAACATATTTTAAACATATTGACTTATTCTCATATGTGGTGATAGTTATGTAGACTAACTTTTGCCAATAAAAAGATATGTGGATTATCCTTTGTACTGTATGTTTTTCCAAAAGTGCTGGAACTGCCATTGTCTCTTCCCCCGCCAGTAAAAGCACCTGAGTTAAAAATGGAGACTAAATTTTTATTTGTATTTTATATCCTAGTTTCTACTGTCTAACAACAATGTAACTGGTGAGAATTTGAGAAGTTTTAGGTCATTATTTTTTCCCCTGTCTCACCAAAACACGCCTGCATTTTCTGGCGGGAGAACTTCTAGATTTCACAAACTAGGCCAGGCACGGTGGCTTACGCCTGTAATCCGAGCACTTTGGGAGGCTGAGGTGGGCAGATCACAAGATCAAGAGATCGAGATCATCCTGGCCAACATGGTGAAACCCCATCTCTACTAAATTCAAAATTTAGCTGGGCGTGGTGGCACGTTCATGTAGTCCCAGCTACTTGGGAGGCTGAGGCAGTAGAATAGTTTGAACCCGGGAGGTGGAGGTTGCAGTGAGCCGAGATCGTGCCTCCGCACTCCAGCCTCGGTGAAAAAGCGAGACAACATCTCAAAAAATAAAAATAAAAATAAAACATAAAAAATAAATAAAGTAAGCTAACTAATAGCAAGAAAACTATCCAAAAATGGATAAGAACAGGACTGAGAAAGGTATCTATGACCTTCTTGGACTAGACAACTGTCAGGATACAAGATAAGGCTTTTGTAACTTATTCCATTATGGTATTCTGTTGATTATATCTCTGAAGTTTTAAGGTATGAATGGCTGTAGAAGAAAATATTGTAACTACCAGGAGCAAGTGGGGAATGGCATATCATTCCCCAAAAATACCAGGAGATCATTTTTGGAAGACTATGCGTATATCTCTGTTTCAAAAATGACTTTTTGTGCACTGGAGAAATACTCCCTAGTTATTCATTTATTACATTACCCAGAATAGCCAAACATTACAGGAGAAATCACAACATTTACCGCCAACTTCTTGAAATTCAATATCTTTCTGTTTTAAGGGGAGGCGGCCATCATTTTTGTTCAAAATTTATTTTTTTCTGAAGTACTTAATAGTATATTAACTAGATTCTTTAAAATATTTGAAAAGTGTTTTTTGGGGGGTGCTTATTTCAATATTTTTTCTATTTTTGTGACTTCATATGTACTTTATTGGGAAGTTAGAGAGATTCATAATGCCTCAGATAATATATGAGTACAAAATCCATTGTAAAATTTTGACAAATCTCAGAACTAATTTATTTATTTATAAAATTTATTTATAAAAAGAATCCTTAGAATCCTTTTATAAAAATCCTTAGAATCCTTAATTCTAAAGATATTTTAATTTATAATGATTATCTTTCTAAAGTTGTGAATACATAAAAATGGATATGTATCTGCAACATTGGTGCAATTCTGCAAATAGCTTGGTCTTTGTAAAGTGTATCTAAGTTATTTCAAATAATTTACTACCTTCAAAAAGTCAATTCCTTTTTAAATCTCTGATTCAGAAAGCAAGTATATATAATTTTATGTAAGTATTTGTATATAATATAGATGTATTTGCATATATAATTATATTAATACTAAATTTACCTTTTTTAAATGGTGAAATTTAGAAACTATAAAAATATCAATTATTATAAATATGAGTAATTAAGTAAAGATAAGTCCATATATTTTAATATAGTATAGCTCATTCAAAATTATATTATGGTATGGTTAATTTTAACATTTGACATTTTTACAAATTGTATGTGTCACATGGGTAATTAAAACAACAACAAGAAGGAAACCATTAATCTACATTGTAAATATAAAACTGAAGTCTAGAATATTAAGATTCCATAATATATCTGATATTTTTACTTATGAAAATGCATACCTGTCTTGTTCATTCAGGCTACTGTAACAAAAACCATAAACTGGATGGCTTACAAACAAAAATTATTTCTCACAGTTCTAGAGGCCAGAAAGTTTAAGATCAAGGCTCCATCAGATTTTGTGCCTGGTGATTGCCCACTTTCTTGTCAATAGCTCTTTTCTCTAACCTCACATGTAAGAACAGAAAATGGGTTTCTCTTAGGCCTCTTTGATAAGAGCACTAATCCATTCACATGGGTTCTGCCCCCATGACCTAATCTTCACCCACTAAAGGTCCCACCTCCTAACACCACATTTGAAGTGAAGATTTCCACCTGTGAATTTGGTGGGGACACAAACTTTCAGAATATAACAGTATCTAGTAATAAATTTCAATAATAACAGCTAAAATGGCAACCGAGTACCTAAAATATATGTATACAGTGCTAAATGGCTCATAAGTATTAAATCATTTAATTTTTATAGGGAATATTTTCAAATGAAGAAATAAGAACAGATAAGTTACATAATGTACCCAAGTTCATATATACTGGCAAATCATAGGACTGAAGATAAAACATAGCAAATATGGTCCCAAGAGCCCATAGCATTAATCACTACCATTGCATTTATGGATATCTGTTTATCTAATATATCGCTAAAGTAATTTCATACTTTTTATTGGTTTTATATATTGCTAAAAAGACCTAATTTTCCTTGAACTGCATTTAGTACATCTGGGTCTATTTGTTTGAAAGTCACTAGATTTAATTTATTCTATAGGCCAGGTTCATCACTGAGATATAGACAAATAGGAAGGGTGAGATTTCTGAAACTGATGTTACTTTATCAAAAGTTAGGCTGCAAGGGTCTTCTCGATTGATCCCTGATAAAACAGAGTTGATGCTGTGTAGAAGTTATTGACAGGAACCTATTGACAACTCACAATTACCAAGCTCCTATTTTCAACCAATTGAAAGTATCCGTAAAAAGATATGAGAGTCATATGACAATGTCAATTGGTTGAAAATAGAAGCTTGGTAATTGCAAGTTATCTTCTACTTTACCATACTGCCTTTCTAAATTTCGAATACTTTTCCTGACTATTCCAAATTTCAGGTATAATTTCAGCTAATGACTATTCCTCACTTTCCCAAACAGTATTTTTAATTCAATCACAGCTCAGCCCTATGCTCTTGGGCAGATAGATGGATTTGACTAAATATTTTTTCCTCCCTCCCAAACATCTTTCTGTTCTTCAATCCTCATATCCAAAGTGCTAAGGATTTTACCTTTAGCACTTCAGGGAGCCCAAAGTATTTCCATAATTTTTGTTTGCTGAAATTTGAATTATTGAGGAAATTATATATTTGAGACAACTTGTGCCAAACTTAGACATTCTTTTTGTATTTTATGCTCTATCGGAAAAAATATACTCCAGATGACCAGATTTAAAGTAAACAAACTAGGCTGGGCGCGGTGGCTCATGCCTGTAATCCCAGCACTTTGGGAAGCTGAGGTGGGCAGATCACAAGATCAAGAGATCGAGACCATCCTGGCCAACATGGTGAAATCCCGTCTCTACTAAAAAATACAAAAATTAGCTGGGTGTGGTGGTGTGTGCATGTAGTCCCAGCTACTTGGGAGTCTGAGGCAGGAGAATCATTTGAACCTGGGAGATGGAGGTTGCAGTGAGCCGAGATCGTGCCACTGCACTTCAGCCTGGGAGAAAGCGTGAGACTCCATCTCAAAAAAAAAATAAATAAAAATAAAAACAAAAAATAAATAGTAAATAAAGTAAACTCACTAATAGCAAGAAAACTACCCAGAAATGGATAAGAACAGGACTGAGAAAGGTATCTGTGAACTTCTTGGACTAGACAACTGTCAGGATACAAGATATGGCTTTTGTACCTTATTCCATTATCGTATAGACTTTTATCCCCTATTAACATACTAAAGTCCATTCGAACAAAATGAATATGAATGATAATAAGAATAAGGTAATGGATGTATTTTTTAATAGATACATCAGAAATTTTTTTGACATGAAATTACTGGTACAGGAGTTGTTTTTATTTGTTCATTAACTTCTACTTTTATTTTCAAAAGAGGTGCACAACAATGGCAGCCTTAGTTCCAACTCTCACTTTACCCCAGTTTAAGTGAAAGACCAGTATAGTTAAAGAGTCATTTGATCTTAATTCAAGAGTATTAGATGAAAGCACAGTATTGATAATTTTTTTTTATCAGGTGTCAGCACTGCTCCAGTTAATTATGGGTAAGAATGAGGAACAGTCTAGTACAATCACACCTGCCAGTACCAAAACTGAAATTGTTATCAGAGAAGGAAGCATAGTTTGAGGCTTGTTAGAGGTTGAAATATTGTTTATTATATTACTAATGCATGCATTGTCAGCCCTGTTTCTGAGACAAAATCCTACTACTGGGGTGCAGTATTTCAAAAGCACATATAATATGAATTACCTGTTTCACAACCAAATCTTCCATACTTTTGATTCAGAGGTCCTTTCTTACAATGAATGTGGCTGATAATGGATTAGATTGTATTGTAGACTCTTTTGTGGTTATCATTTTTTATATTGTTTTCTTAAAAGATATACCTAAATGGATAGCTAAGGAAGGTTAAGTCTGAGCTGTTAGCTGTCTATTCACCTCAAATGTTCTTTTCTTTCATTTAGAAGAATAACATAAATGAGAAATCTTTTTAATATTGCTTTCATGGTTGATATTGTTACTATTATTACTTTCCTTTCCTGTATCTATAAGTGTATTAGTCCATTCTCATGCTGCTAATGAAGACATAAAAGAGACTGGGTAATTTATAAAAAAAAGAAGTTTAATTGACTCACAGTTCGTCATGGCTGGAGAGGCCTCAGTAAAGTTACAATCATGACAGAAGAGGAAACAAACATGTCCTTCTTCACATGATGGTGGGAAGGAGAAGTGCTGAACAAAACAGGGGAAAGCCCTTTATGAAACTATCAGATCTTGTGAGAACTCATTCATTATCAAGAGAACAGCAGCATGGGAATAACCACCTCCATGATTCAATTATCTGGCACCAGGCCCCTCCCATAACAGGTGGGGATTATAGGAACTACAATTCAAGATGAGATTTGGATGGGGACACAGCCAGGCCATATCAATCAGTTAACATAGAATTAGAATCCTGAGATATCTGTGGGAGGGCGTTAGAAGGCTAATCATAAATGTTGTATTTGAGCAGGAGTCCATTCACATGAATACTAAAGAAAGAATAAATCAGTGCCATGATTTCACTATGCTATAGGGATTAGGTAGATGTGGATCACATAATAGAAGATGATCATTTGTTGCTTTCATAAAGTTTCACCTACGTTGACAGGCCAGTTCTCTGAATGAATTCCACCTGTCTACATGCACATTCTTTAGAAAGATGGCATGATTCCAGAGCAATTTTCTAATTTTGGATCCATAGTTATGGAAAAACAATATTATTTTGTGTGTCATGATCTTTAAAGAGCATAAAGATAGACACTAGGATGAAGGAGGACACTGAGAATAAAGAATTGCTTAGAGGCTCAACTGAAAATTCCTGATTCCTAATCCAGGATGATGTATTGGCTGAACTTCTTTTGTCTTCTGAATGGACTAGAAGGTCATATAACCTATACCCACACGAGTGCTCACACTGCTTATCCCAGGCTAAGAACGTAAAGATAGAAAGTTGTTGGATCATGAGATTCTTTAAAGATAAAAAATAACTGTGTGAAAATCCATAAATTATAGCTCAAAGTAACAAGATTAAAAGAGAAAGGAAAAATTAACAATTAGGAAAGGGGAAACAGAAACCAACTAGAACAAGGAAATGTGTATTTGAGGCCAGACTCTCATCCAGCAAAGCTGGGTGAAGAGTAGATGGTGAACCAAGTCATTCTCCTTTACCTTTAAGACATTCTGAGATCCCCTCTCAGTCTCTGTAAGTCCCTTATTACAGATGACCAGTCGTGAAGCAAAAGATCAAAGAGGTGAGGAGCAAAGACAATGAATGGAGGTATTTTAAGTTGTGCTGCACAGCTTGGAAGGCACATTTCATTTAATGTACACATTTCAAATTAAGCATTCATTATAAAGGAAAGAAGATTTATTCCAGGACCTATGTTACTCTATGGGGTTACCAAAATGTATGCTGCCTTTATTTTGTTAAAGGAAAGCACATTTAAAATGTGCTGTGCCCTTATAAAATGGTTTCTTTCAAATTAAAAACAAAAAATAACAATACAATTCTGATTCTCAGCTAGAGGTAAAAATGCAATTTTACAATCTCAAAGAGGCGTAGTTAAACACTGAAGGTACTGGATCATAAACACTGAAGGTACTGGATCAAAGTGTTATGTCTGATTTATTGGGGGAAATTTGACTACAACATCCTTTAACTTCATATTCATGCAAACTTCTAGTGGGCAGCTATAAAAATGCTAATAGAATCTCAGCATCTTAGCTGAAGGTGTCCTAGACTAAAGTCACTGTTCAGTTTTGCTGTCTTTCAAGTGAAAATGAAGTTTAGGAGAAAAGGCCCTAGGGAGAGTCAATTCTGCTGTGTGGCCAAACCTCTCCACCACGCTCCATGGCACAGTCTTTCCCTTCCATCTGCTTCTCCACCCTGCAGATCACTTTCTTGGGATCTGAGGAAATTGTGCAGAAAACTATGGAAATGAAATCTAAATGTGGTCTCCCCAATATCTCACGCTCTGTAAACCATTAGAAATACACATGTTAATTTTTTTATCTCATCTGTTTGCATTTAATTTTCTATTTGAATAACAAATTATTACACAGATATGTGAAATACTTTAGAAATTCCACTAAGATAAATGTGTTCCTTTCTATTTCATTATAAAAAGAAATTATTTTCAATTCTGGGCAACTAGGAGAAGGTGCACTTTAATAAAATATATGTTGCCTATTTGTTTAAGATATAGACTAAATAATATTTTTTAATTTACTTTTATGGTGTTTTTTTTGTTATTGTTAAAGACAATGTGTTCAAACCAGAATTTATGGGACATAAGATATTTTTTATTACTGGTCAAGTAGAATGGAGAATTTATTGTGTTCATTGATTTAAAACCTTGTTCACTGTCTCCTAAATCTTTAAGGGGAATTCAAAGAAAAATCAATCTCAAAACCAGTCTGGGAGAGATTAAATAATACAAGTATGACAATCTATTTAATAAATATGATCTAAATAACAATAAACAATTTGGTAAGAGCTTGCTTTCTGTGACCAACGGATAAAAATATTATTTTCTCCATTAATTAAAAAAATAGATCATAAAGAGGAGGGCCTTGAAGAACAGGGCAGAGTGTTTAGCTGAAGCAAAGAGCATGGTTTGATTTCAGTAGTTTGAGAGTAGTTAGCACTTTTGAAGATCAACAGTATTGTTTGGAGGGGGAGTAAAGAAAATTAATGTGCAAAGGGGAATATTGAAAGAAATGTATGAAAGTTTTGTTTCAGGCCCTATTGCAGAAAAAAAAAAGCTTTGAATTACTCATAATATATGACTATTCATAGGTAGATTTTCTACACTGTGAGTGAAATTTTAGATTCAGGGCCCCCCAATGGAGGGATACTAAAAATATATTCACAAAATTGTGTGGGTTTTTGGTTAATTTACAAAGGTTTAACATCTTTAATAACAATTGATTAGAATAGTGTATTTTTCCACTCTGATTTTCTCCTCTGTTGCATTTCTTCATATATTACATGATGGCAAAGTTATGAAATCCATACAAAAGGAAATTGAGTTGGGGATATATTCATTATTAATTTAAATTTTGTGTGTGTATGTGCATATGTGTATGTGTACATGTGTGGATGTAATCCTAATATATTGTCATGTGTGTATAACTTTCATTCCCTACTTACTTGCACTATTAGGCATGGTAAGATTTGTTCACATGTATATGTGACCTTTGACCCTACCAAATATGCATTATTTTTCCTATTCAAAATCCTATACTAAAAGAAAGACAAATATCTTCGTATTCTCTCTTTGGAAAGCTATGTAATAAAAATCTTTGCCAAATGAAAAAGGCAAAGAGTATCTAGTAAATGGAAAATATGTCATAGCTTCATATGAAAGTTTATTAATAAATATGAACAAATTTTTAGATTTTGTGATATTTGTTAGATTTTTTAATTTGTGTTTTTTTGTGAATTTCTATTTTTTCTCAAAAAATACATTTATACCTGATTTTAAGAAGATCCTCCTACACCATATAAGCTTCAGTCTCTAAAAATATGTAGATTTACTCTTGAAGTGAATTCAAGTTTGCTATAAGTTGTAGGTAATGTGGTGGTTTTTGATAAACAGAGTGTGTAATATAATCAGAATTTTGCTTCATAAAGTTATAAAGTGAATAGGATTTCCAGGAAAACTATAAGTTAGCAGAACAACTAGAAAATTATTAACTGTCCATACAGTAATTGATGGTGACTTAAGCTAGGATTGGAGTTATGGGAGTGCAAATTTGGGAATAAATAATTTGAATGTTACTCAGTAATATTGACAAGTCTAAGTGGTAGTTTAGTGGAATACTTAGAAAATTCCCCTACATTCATTTTTGTTATTCAGATGGATTATTAAGATAATAGAGCATAAAAGGCTTTAAGTGTTTGAAAGTATATTCAATAATCATATTAGTTTCCTTGTTGTTAAAAACTGTTTACTTTGCTATGATAAGAACTCTCTGTCTCACTGAAATTAAATCTAAATAAATATATTTAATAAAAAAATCTTTTGTCATCTTCATCCTCAAATCTTATTTCTGCTTTCATAGACTGATGTTGAGTGCCTGGGGCTTTTCAAGGAGCATAGTGAAAGCTGTTGGTGGATCTACCATTCTAGGGTGTGGAGGATGGTGGCCCTCTCCTCCCAGCTCCACTAGGCAGGGGATAACTCTGTGGAAACTTCCCAGTGGGAACTCTGTGAGGAGGTTCCAATCCCACATTTGACCTTCTGTATTCCCCTAATAGAGGTTCTCCATGAGGGCTCTGCCTCTGCAGCAGACTTCTGCCTTGACATCCAGGGGTTTCCATACATCCTCTGAAATCTGGACAGAGGCTCTTTATTAGTCCATTCTCACACTGTTATGAAAAGGTACCAGAGACTTGAAATTTAAAAAGGAAAAAGGTTTAATTGACTCACAGCTCCACATTGCTGGGGAGGCCTCAGGAAACTTATAATCATGACAGAAGGCAAAGGATAAGCAGGCACCTTCTTCACAGGGTGGCAAGACAGAGTGAATGACTGCCAGAAGGGAAAATGCCTCATGCTTATAAAACCATCAGATCTTGTGAGACTCACTTACTATCAGAATAACATCATGGGGGAAACCACCCCCATGATCCAATTACCTCCATCTGGTCCTGCCCTTGACACATGAGGATTATGGAGATTATGTATATTACAATTCAAGATGAGATTTTGGGTGGGAACACAGCCAAACTGTATCAGCTCCCAAGGCTTAACTCTTGCTCTCTGTGCATTTGCAGGCTTAATATGACATGGAAACCACCAAGGCTTATGTCTTGCATCCTCTCTAGCAGTGGCCTGAGATGTATTTGGGGCCCTTTTAGCCACAACTGAAGCTGGAAGTGGCTGGGACTCAGAGATCAGTACCCTAAGGTTGAACAGAGCAGGGGGACCATTCTTCTCTCCTAGGCATCTGGGCCCAGTATGAGAGGGACTGCCATGAACATTCCTGAAATAGCTTTGAGGCATTTTTCTTATTGTCTTGGCTATTAACATTCATCTTCTTTCTACTTATTCAAATTTTGGTAGCCAGCTTGAATTCTTCCCCTGAAAATGTGTTTTTCTTCTCTACCATAAGGTCAGTCTGCAAATTTCCCAAACTTTTATGCTCTGCTTCACTTTTAAATAATTTCCAATTTCTGAACATCTCTTTGCTCATGCATATAAGCATACACTGTTAGAAGCTGCCAGGTCACATTTTGAACACTATGCTACTTAGAAATTTCTTCTACCAGATACCCTAAGTTATCCCTCTCAAGTTCAAAGTTCTACAGATCTCTAGGCCAGGGATACAATGCCTCCAACCTCTTTACTAAAGCACAACAAAAGTAACCTTTGCTCCATTATATGGTTTGATTCTGTGTCCCCACTCGAATCACATATTGAGTTGTAATCCCCATATGTTGGAGGAGGAGCCTGGTAGGAGATGATTGGATCATGGGGGTGGATTTCCTTGTTGTTGTCCTCATGATAATGAGTAAATTTTCACAAGATCTTATGTTTTAAAAGTGTGTGGCACTTCCCCCTTCTCCCTCTCCCTCCTGCTTCATAATGGTAAGATGTGCTTGCTTCCCCTTCACCTCCTGCCATTTGTAAGTTTCCTGAGGCCTCCCAGTTATGCTTCCTGTTAAATCTGAAGAACTGGGAGTCAATTAAACCTGTTTTCTTCATAAAGTACTCAGTCTCAGGTACTTCTTTATAGCAGTGTGAGAATGGACTAATACACTCCAGTTTCCAATAAGTTCTTCATTTCCATATGAGACCTCCTCAGCCTTTTGCTCACAGCATTTTAACAAGCATCTAGAAAGTTCCAAACTTTCTGTCAACTTTTTGTCTTCTTCTGAGCCCTCCAAATCTTCCAACCTTTGCCCATTACCCAGTTCCATAGCTGCTTCTACATTTTCAGGTGTCTTTATAGCAGTATTCCACTCATGGTACCAATTTACTGTATTAGTCCATTCTCACAATGCTAAAATGAAATAACTGAGAAATGGTAATTTATGAAGAAGAGGTTTAATTGGCTCTTGTTTCCACAGGCTGCACAGGAAGCATGGCTGGAGAAGCCTCAAAAAAATTACAATCTTGGTGGAAGACAAAGGGGAAACAGGTATGTCCCACACGGCTGGAGCAAGAGGAAGACCATGCTATACACTTTTAAACAACCGTATCTCATTAGAACTCATTCACTATCATGAGAACAGCAAGGTGAAAGTCCATCCCCATGATCCAAATCACCTCCCACCAGGCCCCTCCTCCAACATTGGATATTACAATTCTAACATGAGATTTGGTCAGGGACACAAATGCAAACAATATCGGTCCATTAAGCAGATTCTTTCTAGAGCTAATAATTTCATATGTGCATATGCATACATGCTTGTGGATACACATGCATGCACTCATATCACATTAAAAAATTACATTGACTATTCTTTCTAAAAACAGAAGCAAATGACATGTAGATACATGTCTACAGCTGACCTAAAAATAGAGGAAATGAGCCATACCAAAAATGGGCATCATATGATTGTCATTGATGTAGGGGTTCTTCATATCTAGAAAATTTTACTACTTTATTTAAGAAAATTTTATTATATGCTATTTTTAATTACATAGCAATAAACATTTAAACTAAACATGAAAGGCACAAATGGATGTGAAAAACTGTATTATAGTGCTTTATGTTTAGTCAACTTTTCTTCCTCCAAATATTGGAAGTCAGACAATTAAGCAGCAAGAAAGATTAAACAATTGCCTTATACAATATCCTTACTTTACAGATGAAGAAACAGAGGTAAATCCACTTATCCATGGGCCGGCATCTAGTTATTCATTATCCTGACTCCAGGTGTCTATTTACTTCCTCTAACCAAGAATGGCAAATAAACAGCATCCATGCCTTTCCTTCCTCTCCCAAAATGGAAATGCAAAATGGAATCTCACAGCATTTATTCCTACTAAATTCCAGCCTGTTAGTTCTCAGGCTCAGAATGCTTCCCTCAGTGCCCTCAGTAGTCATTTTCAGTAGACTATGATTAGCAATTAAGATAAAACCATACAAATATATAGCATAAAGATCAGTTTCCATATAGCCAAACTTTGCTCTAACCTGTTTCTCATGATTCAGCCAACTTTCACTGGGCAATGGGTCCAAAGATTAATTAGAGTCCATTCATTTCAAAAGAGATTCATAAATATTATGTGTGGACTTAATCAGATTTAGATAGATTCCTTAATATCTTATTTCAATATCCAATAGATGTAAATTAATTGGTTTGTTTATTTTGTGATGCATTTAAAAAATGGAGAAAATAATAATATTTGGTTCTTAGACTTTTTTAGTAACTGATAAAATACACAAAACTTACCATCATACTACATTACCACCTGAGCAACTCTTTTTTTTAGTTCTGACTATGGTAGTTTTTAAGAAGCATAACTAATTTCAGACCTATAGAGTGGAGGCAAATATGCTTTTGAAATAATAGTGCTTCTGGCATTCCACTGAGTCCTTTGGGAGGATATTCTGCATTGCCTTTAAAGACAGCAGAAAGAAAATCAGAATATGGCTAGGTCAGGTGTGTGGAATACACAGCACTGCTGAAATGAAATATTTGTCTGAGAAATAAAAGAAGCAACCAAAACTCAGGAGGGCATGATTGGCTGTTCACAGCGAAAACGTCTCCGAGTCTTCGGTGTTCTGCTTCAGTTCAGCTGAGGAATCAGAACAAGACATTAAGCAGGATTCTCCATATGAGTCAACATGTGAACTACTAGAAGTCTGAAAGAAATCTGAATTAAGAAAGAAACTTATCTGAGAACTTTTACAAAGATCCTAGGGAAAAGACATTGACTTTGTTTGGGCTCAGAAAAAAGGGAAATAAATAACAAAATATCTCATTTAGAAATTTTTTAATAAAGCAGATTGCTTTAAAGTGTTGTGGGACTGCTTGTTAAATAGCTTTTAAATACAAAGAAGTGAGGATTTTGAGATTCGAGGAGCATAAGAACACAAGAAGCCAAAAATACAGGGCTGAATGAGTAAAGCTGAAAGGCAAAGAAAAATGCCCTCTCTTCCTCTGGTACTTCAAGATCCAACTACTCTTAGTTTTCACAAATTATTTATTCAAACTTTCAATAGAAGGCTATTCCTTCATAATGAAAAATAATCAATAATGGTGAGTTAATTAGCATGGATACCATGACAGTAGTTGTTAATTGTTATAAGCCCCAGTTCATCCATTGAACTCTCTGGTTTCTTGTGTTTTCTGGCTACCTCATTCAGCATTTACACAGATGGACATACTACAGTTTCTAACCTGGCCTATTGACTCATGTAGTCATAAAATAATTTACTCTCCAGGGTAGAATATTTGATGGTTTATTTTTAAGGTCCAAATTATGTGGATTTTTAGATTTTGAAGTGATACCATATATTTGATAGGATCAACATTGTTTGATAGAATATTTTTCCAAGGGAAATATATTTTTAAACCTGGACTTTATATTTTTTTTCTTAGAAACTATGCACAGGTTTTAACTTTTGAACTCAGGACTACATATGAAATACTTAAAGCATAGATTTGAAAATTTTAGCTAATATTAAAAAATGAGATATTAATATTGAGAAGAAACAGTCAGAATTATTGTTACTTATAGTTTCTAAATTTATCAGCCAAAATTTCAAAGAAATAAAATGATACACTATTTAGAATTAGAATAATTAAATAGGGTAATCATTTAGAAAGTACTAATTTCCTATATGACAGCAATGACCAACTTAAAAAATGAGAGCACAGATCTCAGTAACATTAAAGACAGAAACTATAAAAACAACAAATGTATCAAATATGATGGCTTTTTGTACATATTGTAAGACCTCGCTCAAGCTGCCTCTTTGGAAATGACAAATTTTTGTGTAAAATACTTGAAAATACTAAAATTAAGGAGAACTTCAAATGAAACTTAATATAGTAGCTTGGTGATATTACCTAAAAAATTAATTTACACTTCTGTATCCTTTGAATTTTATTATCTTGATCATAAGTCTGGTTCCTCTTTTACCACTAAGATGGATGTCAGCAAATTCTAGGGCTGTATAGTTCCTCATTTTTGTCCAGCAGTACAGATACAATGTCTTCTGCTCAACATTCTTAGAATAGGTCTAATTGGACTAATTTAGGCCAATCAATTGTTATAGGCAGAATAATGGCTTCCCAAAGATGTCCATATCCTTATTTCTAAAACCTGTGAATATGTTCCATTACATAGTAAAGAGGAATTAAAATAGTGGATGGAATTAAAGTAGCTAAGCAGCTGACCTTAAAATAGGAAGAGTACCCTGGATTATTTAGCTGTTCCCAATGTAATCACAAGGGTCCTTAAATGTGAATGGAGGTGTCAGAAGATTCATTATTAGAGTAATGCAATGAAGAAAACTCCATTGCTCACTTTGAAGATAGCCAGGGCCAGGAGGCAAGGAATATGGGCAGCCTTTAGAAGCTAAAAATGGAAGAAGACAGATTCTTCACAAGAGCCTTCAGAAAGTAATGCAACCTCAACTACTAAACCTTGGTTTTAGATCTACATTTCTGACCTTGAGAACTGTAATATAATAAATATATATTGTGGTAAACCACTAAGTTTGTGATATGCATTAGAGCAGCAATAGAAAACTAATATAACACCTTTGCAGTCATCATTGCAGCTGTGGGGTGAAATGCTTTGACTGGCTATCCTGAACTTTACGGTCCATCTCTCTTGTTCTAGAGTTGGCATTAGCTTCTCCTGAAAAAGAGGAATCCTGAAAGAAATAATGAGCAATTCTCTACGGGAAGTTATTACACTATATATAACTTAAATGTTTTGGCATAAACAGTCTGATAGTTGGTTTTTATCCAAAGGAGAGTGAGTTAGCATATGATATTCCCTAATGAAAAATACGTATTTCAAAGTGATTGATTAGCACTGATAAAGTGCGGAGACACTGTATTAGATTTTCAGAGGCTGCTGTACAAAATTACCACAAATGTGGTGCCTTAAAACAACCATTTATTGATATGGTTTGGCTGTGTCCACAAACAAATTGCATCTTGAATTCCCACGTGTTGTGGGAGGGACCTGGCGGGAGGTAATTGAATTATAGGGGTGGATCTTTCCTGTGCTGTCCTCGTGATAGTGAATGAGTCTCAAGAGATCTGATGGTTTTAAAAATGGGAGTTTCCATGCACAAGCTCTCTCTTTACCTACCACCATCCATGTAAGATGTGACTTGCTCCTCCTCACCTTCTGCCATGATTGTGAGACCTCCCCAACCACGTGGAACTGTAAGTCAAAACAAACCTCTTTCTTTGTAAATTGCCCAGTCTTGGGTTTTTCTTTATCAGCAGCATGAAAACGGACTAATACATTTATCTTAAGTTCTGGAGGCTAAAAGTCCAAAATCAAGTTGTTGGCAGTGTTGGTTCCCACTGGAGGTTCTGAGAGAATTGGATTCCGTGATTTGACTTTTAGCATCTGAAGGTTTCTAGCAGTCCTTGGTGTCCACTGGCTGGTAGCTGCATCCCTGTGATCTTAGCCTCTGTCTTCACACTCATTCCCCCTGGTGTATGTCTGACACAGTGTCTTCACGTGGCATTCTCCTTTCTGTTTGTATGTGTACAAGTTGCTCTTGTCCTATAAAAACACCAGTCATATTGAATTAGGGCCTGCACTAATCCAGTATGCTCTCATCTTAATTGATTACATTTGCAATGACCCTGTTTCCAAATGAGGTCACATTGTGAGATTCCAGGAAGGACATGAATTTTGCAGGGACACTATCAAATATAGTACAATTTGCCACAAGAGGCAACCAACAATTGTACTATTATGCTAAGGAATAATAATATATCATCTATATGAAGAAATTTGTTAAGAATTGTTAAAGGAAATTAAAATGGATAACAGGCCTGAAGAATTCCTGAGCAGACGAAACCATTAGGCCTCATAAGTGACCTCAACCTTGCTTTATTTGAAAACATAAGCAAAGCTTAACTTCAGCCATTTATTGTAAATGTCTATATTAAAGAAAAACAAAACTGTAATGCAAACATTAAGATATTGCCAATAAACTGATGTAACTAGGAACCTTACAATGGAATAGACCAGATGAGACAACTGCAAAATTGTGACTAATCAAATCTTTGTTTTACTTTACTTCCAGGTCCATCCTATAAAAGCTTCCCCTTTACATTTCCTCAGTAGAGCTCCTGAACTACTTTCTCATATTACCACTAATACAGGAGCCACTCTCATTTCTACACCTTTATTCTTGAACTGGTGAATTCTGGATGTTGGACAAATAGCAAAATTTACTGGTCCCTGTTTAAGAACATTTACTGCATCCTCCTGAACCAAAATGGGAATGAAAACATTGAACAAGTAAGAAAAATGAGGACATTTGAAACCTACAGACATTTCTGTCTGCCTCTCACTACCTCTACCTGTGGAGATCTTTGGAACATAATCGTTGCTATTTAATGTCTTCTGTCAATTCTTGACATTTTTTTCCCCAACTCAATCTTGCAGCAATACAGAGAGCAGGATTCTGGGAAGAATAGTTTCAGTTTAGTCAAATTTCCACATTAAGAAGCTACCACAATTACAAAGATAGAGTTTTCAACCAATTGCAAAAAGGAGACTATTATGTCAAATTATTTATCCATTTGAAAGAAAAATTCTTATCTTTTAATAGTCTAAATTTTATAATAAAGTTATAAATACAAACAAAATTCAAACATTATTACATAAAAAGATAGGAAAGTATTTGAGTATTTTTAATACTGTTAGGGTAGAAAAGAACTTCTTAACAGAAAAAAAAACATAAATTTTAAAGGCAAATAATGATAATTTTTTGACTCAAACATGTTTTCAACTTGTCAAAGCTGTAAGGAAAAATTTATTTACATATTCTATTGTTGAACACACTTTTGAAGTCAGTTTGTCATGACTGTGTATACATGTGTGTATACACACACACACACACATACACACATTGTAAATGGACAAACCAAACTATTTAACATAAGTATTACTTCACATACATACGTATTTTTTGGGGATGAGAAGACTTAAAATCTACCCTTAGCAAATTTTAAATATGCAATATATTATTGTTAACTGCAGTCAGCATGAGATAATTATTTCTTAGATCATCAATCTTAGATGATTAAGTCATTATTTCTTAAATCATTATTTTTAAGGTCATCAATCTTAGGTTCAAGATTCTAATTCATCAAAACACAAAATGATGCCAGAATATGTATACAAGGATGTTTATTTTTAATAATAAGACAAGGAAATTATCAAATAAATTAACATCCAATTATATTATGGTAGACTGTGCAGGTACTAAAGGAAGATTTTAGAGTTGTCTGTACTGACACAAATATATTCTGATGTACAAAAAAATGCTAACTAAAATGTACAATGCATTGCCATTTTTGTAAAATAAATGTGTATATGATAATAGGTTTTATTTATGTGTTTAAGGGAGAATGAGTAGATTTCTAATAGAAAAATGACTGGAAGGATGAATAACAAATATTGCTATTTTTTCCCTTCCCTTCATCTCTTCCTTCTTTTTTTTCTCCTGCCCTCCCTCCTCCTTTACCACTCTTTGCTTTAATTGTTCAAAAACATTTAATAAACACCATGTAGGAGATTGGTCAGGGTGGTGGGAAAAGTTGCAAGAAAATGTTATAGGAAAGAATGCAAACCTTCTTGGAAGGCCGGGAGGTTTTGCAAAAACTTCAAGAAAGAATTTGGCTGAAGGCAGCCAAATTCTCTTATCAGAAGGCTGAGAGCAAAGAGCGGATAACAAGGGAATGTAAAGGAACTTATCTAGATAAACTTGTTTACTCCTGTCTCCAGAAACCAATCTTTGATCATTCCTGCACAGGACTGCTCTCTACTTGGGGGGGTCGACAATGTTTATTACCCACAAACTGTGTGTGCTCCAAGCCTTTGTCATTAAATCTGCACTAAATAAATGCAAGCATCACCACCTTAGGGAAACTGCACTCTCCTTGGCTGCTGCACTCTCTCATCATTGGTGCAGAGATGTGCTGAGATGTGGCAGTCCCCTAGACATGCTGTCAGGCAAAATACCTGTGTCAGCACACTCCTTTCATCTGTAGCTTGGCCAGAGTCTGCAGGACAGATGGCAACACAACTATGTTCAAGCTACTATTTTAGACAGTAGAAGGACGAATAATTAGGTGAATATAAAACAACTTCATTTTTTAACTTAAAATTCATCTCACTTAAATATTTTAAATGTATCTTTCTCCAATCAGCACACTTAAAATGTATTTTTTATTTTACTGTACATTTATTATTATTATTATTATTATTATTATTATTATTATTATACTTTAAGTTTAGGGTACATGTGCACAATGTGCAGGTTAGTTACATATGTATACATGTGCCATGCTGGTGTGCTGCACCCATTAACTCATCATTTAGCATTAGGTATATCTCCTAATGCTATCCCTCCCACCTCCCCCGACCCCACAACAGTCCCCAGAATGTGATGTTCCCCTTCCTGTGTCCATGTGTTCTCATTGTTCAATTCCCATCTATGAGTGAGAACATGCGGTGTTTGGTTTTTTGTCCTTGCAATAGTTTACTGAGAATGATGATTTCCAATTTCATCCATGTCCCTATAAAGGGCATGAACTCATCATTTTTTATGGCTGCATAGTATTCCATGGTGTATATGTGCCACATTTTCTTAATCCAGTCTATCATTGTTGGACATTTGGGTTGGTTCCAAGTCTTTGCTATTGTGAATAGTGCTGTAATAAACATACGTGTGCATGTGTCTTTATAGCAGCATGATTTATAGTCCTTTGGGTATATACCCAGTAATGGGATGGCTGGGTCAAATGGTATTTCCAGTTCTAGATCCCTGAGGAATCACCACACTGACTTCCACAATGCTTGAACTAGTTTACAGTCCCACCAACAGTGTAAAAGTGTTCCTATTTCTCCACATCCTCTCCAGCACCTGTTGTTTCCTGACTTTTTAATGATCGCCATTCTAACTGGTGTGAGATGGTATCTCATTGTGGTTTTGATTTGCATTTCTTTGATGGCCAGTGATGATGAGCATTTTTTCATGTGTCTTTTGGCTGCATAAATGTCTTCTTTGGCGAAGTGTCTGTTCATATCCTTTGCCCACTTTTGGATGGGGTTGTTTGTCTTTTTCTTGTAAATTTGTTTGAGTTCATTGTAGATTCTGGATATTAGCCCTTTGTCAGATGAGTAGGTTGAGAAAATTTTCTCCCATTTTGTAGGTTGCCTGTTCACTCTGATGGTAGTTTCTTTTGCTGTGCAGAAGCTCTTTAGTTTAATTAGATCCCATTTGTCAATTTTGACTTTTGTTGACATTGTTTTTGGTGTTTTAGACATGAAGTCCTTGCCCATGCCTATGGCCTGAATGGTATTTTTTAACTTTACTGAATTGTGCAATCATTATCATAATTTTGAAAGTTTTTAACATACAACAAAATTCCTTGTACCCATTTTTCTCTGTATACATTCCTAGCCCCAGGCAACCACCAATACACTTCTGTGTGTTTAGATTTGCTTTTTTCTATAAGCATTATTAGTAGTAGTTTTAATAAGGTTATGACATTCTACTCTTAATACCTTTTGGGTATATGGAGAAAATACATGTTTTTACTTCTTCAGTGATTACTACAATATTTCTGACAAATTACACCCACTGTGGATAGAAAAAAGAATTATGTGTTCCATTTGTTTTAAACTAAATTTCAGTATGCAATTGAAATAGCAGAATCTAGAAAATAAAATTACATACTCTCTCATATGGAATCAACCTAGATTTCCATCAATACATGAATGGATAAAGAAAATGTGGTATACATACACAGTAAAATAATATTCAGACTTACAAAGAAAGCAAATTACATCATTTTCAGCAACATAGATGAATCTGTAGGGCATTATAATTGGGATAAGCCAAGCACAGTTAGACAAATACTACATGACCTTACTTGGCAAAGAAAAAAAAAATTGAAATTGTAGAAGCAGAGATTAAAATGGTGTTTGCTAGGATCTGGGATGCCAAGTGAGATTTTGGAGACATGACCAAAGGATACAAAATTACAATTGGACAGGAGCAAAAAATTCAAGAGATTCATTGTATAACACAAGGACTATGGTTAATAACAATGTATTGCGTACATACAAATGCTGATGGAGTAGATTTTATGTGTTTTTACCACAAATGTATAAGTATGTAAGGTAAAGCGTATAGCCATTCCATAGTGTACATGTAATTCAAAACATCATGTTGTATGTCATATGTATTTACGCTAACATTAAAAAATAACCTATTAAAATTATAATATCTCATCTATATAAAATTATACATTTTACTAGTTATCATTTCTTATTTTACTATAGTTTGATTATGCTGTATATATGTGTGCATTAGGAAGGAGCATATGTGAAATTTTGTGTCTGGTTGGTGCTAGAATAAAAGGAAAGAACCAGAGTCTTCAAATGCTGAATCCTCTTCCTCCCTTGGTCTTTACTGTGACATTCTTTGCCCACCCTGGTGCTTCTTGCTGTGTTGGCATTGACCAGTAACAACCAAGGCATTGCTTTTCATCTCCCCATATTATGTCCTACTTCCCCCTGATTTTGGCTTAGCAATAATTACCCAACATCATTAACATAATGAGAGAATTGCATGCACAGAAGATTTCAAGCCTTGATATGCTTGAAAAGCATAACCGGATTTTAGAGTATTATTTTGAATATGTCAATTTTGAATAACAAAAACTAAATATGTATTTTTATGTATTTTTTCCATAATAAATCATTTTCTAATTCTAAAGTAGATGGAGATTCACAATGGACAAGGTTCTTTTAAGCAGAAAGCACAAAATAAACACACATTCATAAAATTACAATTATAAATAAATTATAGGAAATAGTTTGAGATCTAGAGTCTTAATACATAGGCTCCAGTCCATTCATTATCATTCATGAATAAGCTAAGTTAAATCACTAAAGTTTTCTAAATCTTCTGATAAAAAAATTATGTTAGAAATTCCTCCTCCTAGATTTTTTTGAAGAATCAAATGAAATAATTTGAAAGGTCTTTGTTAAGAAAATACTAAAGAAATTAAATGCACTGGAAATTATAAAAAACTGTTTATTTCTGAATTATACTAACATTTATTCTTTGAAACTTTGTACATATATATTTCCAACTTAGAGATAACTTTAACAAATTTATGAAATTGTTACAGTGAAAAAGGATTTCCATGTTATTCATTCAAATCAAACAGTTAGCATCACGGTAGGAAAAAAAAAGTAGTTAACATACAGTGTTTATGTAATATTCAAGCATGTTACCAAATGGATTAACCTGAGCATAGTAAGCAAGTTATTTTCAATATGATTAATGATCTTATTAAATTCATGTGAGCAAGCTGAGACTCTTCATTTCCAGAGAATTGTGCAGAAATTTAAAACGGGTCAGAGAGGGCATATGAAAATGAGTACAGAGCTGGAATTGGAATCCATAAGAAAGGTGAAAATAGTTTATATTGTTTCATGTGGATATGAGAAGGCTCCGTGTATACGAAAAGTTATTTCAAGCTGGAAGATCAACAGCTGCCTTCAATTTCAATGGTGTTTCTAAGGAGAAAAGACACCTCTTATTATATAGTGAGTGATATTTACCTTAGAAGTCACAAAAGAAGTTTCCAGGTAACTGAAAAAATTGTATTCTATTCCTCAAAACTATAGAGACAATATATGGCTAGTGATCATGAGGTGGTCCTGTTTAGGAAGTGAGGAATGAAGACAATTACCTTTACCAACTAAATTTGAGAAAAATTAAACACAAATAACCAAAACAAGACCTATTTTTATTCTTGAGTCCTGTTTGTTTGCTTGTTTGGCATTGCCAGAATTGAAACCATATAAAATTTCTTAGATTCTCTTAAGCCACTTACAGTGTGTCACTTTGAAGAATAGATCATCCATTAACTCTTTCATTCATCTGTGTCAGTAATCTTAGTTTTACCCAGGTGCTAATCATCTTTTTGATGAACATCCATGCTTACAAGTTCTGCCAGAGTGGTCCAGTTATTAACAAATTATCCCAGTTCATCTAAATTGAGGCATAGTGTAAATTCTAGTGAAAGAAATATTTAATCAAATTAAAACAAGTTTAAAAAAAATCTATCACAGTTGAGGGATTGCATTTTAATTAGGAAAAAAACAGTGACAAATGCATGAACATATCAATAAATGAAATTTCTTCCAACAATGACATTTCTCTCAACAATAAAATGAACAAATTTTGGGCCATAACATTTTAACATTCTAAGAGAATAACATTTTCACATATAGGAAATGAACACGAAATTCCAACAATTTCAGTAGTTTCTTTATTGGTGGCCAAGCAGGACATGGGGAGAGAATAAGTTTTGCAGTTAGTTTTATGTGCTATTTCAGAAATAGACTATTGCTTACTGACTTGTCTATTTTATAGTTTACATAATATAAATTAATGGCATCTGGTCTCTGCCTTTGTTGTTCTCAGGCCATAAGATCCACATGTCACCCTGTGATATTTCCACCAGCTCCAGTAAAGTCCTAGGGTCTTTTTATTTTTCTGGGGTCTTCCTACCTGTGAATCAGCACTGCAGCCGCCAAGCAATGCCAATCATAATGCTTGTCCAAAAACAGTATTCTATATTATAAACTACTCAGATTTTGACATTTGCCTCAACTCCTGCCCTTTGTGTGTTTTTTACCCAGTATACATGTTCAAAAAAACAATAGAGACATTATGTCTTATTGAGGGAATAAAGAAAGGGGACTAATTCTGTGAGTTGGTTACATTAAAGTTGTTTAAGAGAGATTCTATTATAAAAGCAATAATAATGAAGCCATGAAATGCCAGCAATTAAAAAATTCCAAGTAAATGATTGTCATTAAGCAAAACAAAACAAATTGAATAAACCAAAAACCAACCACATATTAATTTCTAAATGACTCAAATAAATTATGGAGTATGAATTCAGAAAGCAGCCAATGATTATGTTCTACTCTGGTGAATATTTACATTTTTCATTGTTTTTGTTTTGTTTTTGTTTTTGTTATTAACATTGACTTAAAAACAAAATTTTAAATACACTTGTGTATACTGCTTGGGTAATGGGTGCACCAAAACCTCACGAATCATCACTAAAGAACGTACTCATATAATCAAACACCACACGTTCCCCAAAAACCTATGGAAATAAAATTTTTTCAAAAAAATCAAATGTGACTTGAAATTTAAACCTGTAAATTTCTAAACAAACAATGGTTTGCAGAAATTGAAGCTTAGATAATTAGTGGTATGTAATTGTATTGGACTGCTTGGATCCATTTTTCCCAAAAAGTGTGATCCCCAGGCCATAAACATTAGCATCACCAGAGACTTGTTAGAAATGCACTTTTGAGCTTCTCCCAGACTTCCTGGATTAGAAATTCTAAGATTTGGGTCAAGCAATGTCAGATCCCAGGATATAGGTCCAACCCATGCTGAAGTTGGAGGGGAGTGGGTGGATGAGCAGGTGAATACGGTTTTATTCTGCAGCAGCTCTCTTACACAGCTTACTCTAACTAGCTCTTTCACACTGTCCACCCTGTCTCGGCTGCTTAGTCTGGTGGCTCCCACACACAGCTTCGCAGCTGGCTCTCCCCTGCCTTCAAGGTCAGCAGCTTAACTCCTTCTGTCTGCGGGCACGAACAAGCAAAGCTGTGTCCTGGCCCCTCCTGTCCATCTTGCAGATGGACAGCTTTGGGTCTCTCTCTTTCTCTGGGCACCAATGTGCCTACACAAGAGCCATGCCCAGCCATGTTGAGCCAAGCTGAGCCCCCGTGCACAGCATCCATAAAGCAATTACCATCTACAGACAATAGTGGCTCCAAGCCAAGTATGAACTTATACAAACAGGTTATATAACAAGCGAAGGTGTGCGCCTGCATGCCAAACTCGCTGAGTCATTCTGGCTGGATATCTGCCTCGGCCTATTCCTTGACCAAAGCACGTCCATGTACCTTATATTCCACCCCCTAGGTTGAGGGAGACATAGGGTTTGGGCACACAAGCCCGGTAGACAGGCTTGACGCACATGCTTTAGTCATGCAGGCCCAACATATACACACAGGCTTGACACATGAGCCTGACAGATAAACTTTGGGCACACTGGCCTGTTACATACATAAGCTTCAATAAACTGTCCAGCTCTTGGGGCAGATTACCATAGGTGTCACCTCGTCGTGATTACCATTCATGCTGCTCTGAGTTCAGCTCATTAGCTACTCTGTCTACACCTGCTTTCAAACCATATGGTGTCAGTATTAGGCTGGACTGCGACAATAGTCCAGGCAGCAGTAGCACCTTGGCTAGACCCATCTGTATACCATGCCCTGTTAGGAATGGGGGGATGCCCTCCGTAATGGTGAAGGCTCAGGGTCTAGGGGTATCTCAGGCCCCATGGCCTTATCTTGCATTAGGACTACAGGTCCTAAGACTTCTTGTAACTCTGCTGCAAAGGGACTTGTACTTAGTGTACTCCACTGTTCTAGGTAGGAGCCTCACTTCACTAAAGTGGATGTCTGTGCCGTCCCTATCTGGGGGGTCAATACCCATGAATACACCTATCCCGCTACCAGGTAAGTCATCTGTACGATGACTGTAACCCATCCTGCCACACCCTTATGAGCCTGAAGTGCAGCATATGCTGTCACTAACTGCTTTCCCAGTTGGGGGGTCAGGGGAGATGGTTACCCATGAACACACTCATCCTGCTGTCGGGTAAGCCGTCCACATGATGACTGTAACCCATCCGGCCATGCTCTTATGAGCCTGAAGGGGAGCATATACAATCACTAACTGCTTTTTTATTAATGAAAACTGGAGCTCAGCTCCCTTCCATAGTTGCAACCAAAAGCTTAGTGGCGCTTCCAAGCACTCCATGCACTGCTATAGGCCCTAGTCAAACCTATTTGTGGTTACATGCACATCTAGTTTAAATTGCACCCCTAGTTAACTACCCATAGGGCTTGTGCCTACCGAATAGCCTGCCTGGCTACCAGAAAGGCTGTTTCAGCCGCATCATCCCAGTTCCAGGAAAGAGGGGCATTGGTGCTTCTAAACCTGCAGCAGAATCAGAGGTTAGCATAACAGCATCAACAAAAACATGACATATGGTGGAGCTATACACATAGCGCTGAAGCAACACTGTGCAAGTCCATTGTCACTCTCCCATGAAGGCAAACTATTCCTGGCTCTCTGGAGGGACATCAATGGAGAGGAATGCATTGGCCAAGTTTACCACACAGTGGCATCATCCCAGTTCCATTGTTCTCCTGTGGCTCATCAAGTCTGTGATAGACGGCACAGCTGCCAAGACTGGCAAAACATCCACCCCTAGAATGTCCCTCGGGCAGGACCGGATTGTGCAGCAATGCCCTCTTCCCGAATGACTTGCACTAAGTCTGTACAGGACTGCCGACATTACTTGCTTAACTCCCACAACTTAGCGGAGGCACAGGCACCACAGGAAATGTGTTCCACCATGGGGGGGGCGGGGTATCTGGCCCACACTTGGGGCCTAACAGCTGCTCATGCTCCAGGCAACCTTGCAACGGAGGTTCTTCCTCCTCCCTGCACTGCTTTCTGCAAGGACTGGCCACGCACTTCCCGCAGCACAGTTACAAACGCCCATCTGACTCTCCCGGTAAAGGGATGCTTCTTCTCGGTGCTGTGTACTTCCAGGTGCTTCAGCACCTTCTCCACACTCACAGGGGACCCGTCCACCGCCTCCCACATTTCCACTGTGGCTCATCCAAGCAGCACCGCTCCCACTGGGTACCACAGCCGGTTCTGAGGCCACATAGCCAACCCGGGAGACCTCAGGGACTGAAGACCCACTCACCTCATCCCATCCTCATTGCCAATTGTCAGATCCCAGGGTCCGTGTCCAGCCCATGCTGAAGTCTGAGGGCAGTGGGTGGATGAGCAGATATAACACTGGGGGGCGCGTAGGCATGTGAATATGGTTTTATTCAGCAGCAGCTCTCTTACACAGCTTACTCAAACTAACTCATTTACACTGTCCGCCCTGTCTTGGCTGCTTAGTCTGGCGGCTCCCACACATTACAGCTGCGTGGCCGGCTCTCCCCTGCCATCAGGGTCAGCAGTTTAACTCTTTCTCTCTCTCAGCACAAGCAAGCCGAGCTGTGTCCTGGCTCCCTCCTGTCTGTCTGCAAAATGGACAGCTTTAGCTCTCTCTCTTTCTCTAGGCACCAGCGTGCCTGCACAAGAGCCGTGACCAGCCATGTTGAGCCAAGACGTGCCTCCGTGCATGAGCCTCTGTGCACAGAGTCCGCAGGGCAACTATACCTTCTACAGACAGTAGTGACTCCAAATCAAGTATGAACTTACACAAACAGGTTATAAAACAAGTGGAGGTGTGCGCCTGTGCACAAAGCTTGCTGAGTCACTCTGGCGGGACATCTGCCTTGGCCTATTCCTTGGCCAAAGCACATCCATGTATCTTACAAGCAATCTGTGTTTTAACAAACCCTCCAGTTTATTCCACTCTATGCAAAAGTTTGAGAACTAGTGACCTACATTATTGTCAGTATGAAATCTTATTCTGCATTCCCATGAGACCTTATTTTAAACTATCACTATACCTGATACTTCTATGAAGTCCCTGATAATATGAGAGTAGTAGAGGATGTGGCTTTCCCTACTGCAGCGTCAGATGATCATGAGAATAAACATGTTTTTAATTATATACTATTTAATGTATTCATTTTAAAAATGGAAGGGAGATGGATAAAATAGAAAATTCATGTTTAGTAAATTATCACAACTGAGTTAAATTTTGTCTTTGCCTCATCCCAATTATGTATATGTGGGCTAGCTAATAGATTCGTTACTTGATTGATTTTATTGTTTAGAAATATTTGAGGATGCACTACATTTTTTTATGTTTTTGAGGTGATGCAGATACCACAATTTAAAAGTATGTCAGACAGTAATCTCAGTATGCTTTACATCCTCTAAGCCCATTTAGTTGCTCTGGATATTGCTGTGGCCATCAACTACCCTGATGACGTGTCCCCTCAGTGTGTTGATACAACACCTTGGACTTCCTTCCTGGGGACTTTATTGGTGTTTTTAGGATTGCACTCACTCCTTCTAGCTCATGAACTGACTTAGAAATCTTGGGGAGTTCACATGCCCTGGGATAGCTTTTGTGCAATAGTAGAAAGAACTGGGAAATGAATAGTCTCCTCTTCCATAGATTAGATGGGCAATTTTGAGGATCTTCACACATGGTTCTTCAAAGAGTGCCCAGTAGGACTGAGCCTCAGTCACCCACAACAAAAAGCAGCTCAATCATGCAACCTTCACTGGGCTGTGCCTTGATCTGTGTTGCACTCTTGTGGATCACTTCTCTGAGTAAGCTATCTGCTTGTTGTGGAAACTGGAAAGGCAAAGACTCTGCTTTAATAGAAGTAGCGATCTAAATCTAGTTGTAGAGAGTAAATCTGGATGAGAAATTGACAACTGAGCAAAAACAAACACAATAAATAACATCATTTTGATAGTTACAAAAGCTTTGTAAAACAATTAATGTGGTAATGTGCTAGCTAGCACATGACTGTCAAGAAGTGCATTTTGTTAGCTAAGAGTGTAGTGACTAGTTTACAAGCTTTATCAGACAAGATAATTTTCTGGAGAGCTTAGAAACACACAGATTCCTGGAGTCCATCCCATACTCTAAATTAGTGGGTATGGGTAGGAGCCTGGAAGTCCACCTTTCTAATAAGACCACAAGTGATGCTGCTGCTGGCGAGCTGGGTACCATAAATTAAAAACAACTGGATTAGAGGGATACTTGCTGAGATGTTACTCTGATCTGTAGCATGAAAAGGAGCCAGCAATACAAAGAACCCAAAGAAAAGGACCCCAAGTAAAGAGAGAATGAACAGTGCAAATGTTCTAGTAATAGAATTCATTAGCTCAGGTGTGAGTGTAGTAAGGTGAGTTTTTACACAGGAAGTTGAAAAAAGAAGGTAGAGAGAGGGTGAGGGTTATATGGAAAAGGTTTAATGGGAGTACATAGAGAACAGATCAGGTAGAGTAATATAGGTCATGGTAAACCATGCTTGGTTTTATTCTAAAGATAGGTTAAGTCACCAGAGGTTTTAAAAGAGATGTTATCTGAATTATATTTTTTAAGTGACTGTGTAGGATCTGTTGTAGTTGGATAAGAGTCAAGATAGAGAAGTTTCTCACATCTACAAAATAAAATTCCCATGCGTATTATAGAGAGAAATTGCACAGATTAGGTTGAATGCATAAAATGTGCCAGAATAACATAGATTAGGTGATCATGTAAATATTATATATTATATGCAGAAATGGAAAACATGAATAAAATACATTTAGGAAACATAAATGTGATTAATCAATATAAATGTCAGTATAAATTTTAGGAAGACATGTCATAAAGTTGAATCTGTGTGGACCAAAGTAAGATGTAGACTATGTACTGATCAAGTGTTCAAATCTAGAGCCTCACTGCCTGGGTGTGACTTCTGGCCCTGCTCATCTCTAACTGAATTACTCTGAAACTCCCTGTGCCTTGACTTTCTCATCTGTGAAATGGAACACATTAATAATAAATACCTTCACCTCATAAAAGTTTCCATGGGGATAGATTCAATGAGTGATTTTCTGTAAGTGTAAGTTACTTTATGATCAGTGCCTAGAACTTGGTAAGTCTTATAAGAGTATTTGCTATTATCATTATTGTTATTGCTGCTATTAGTCAGTAACAACTTATCAATTTTGTTTGGGTAGTAACAAAATGCCATTCTTAAAAGTGATAAAAGAAAATACTGAAACTGTATGGTGTGTGTGTGCGCACGTGTGTGTGTGTATAGGAGCAAGAGTGAATAGGTGAGGTGGTAACGGATAGAAGGTAACTAACTACAGACTGGAAATTGTAGGAAATATGTTATAGATTTGAGTTTTGAATTTTGGAGTGAAATTTTTTTAAAAAAGCAAAACTTATTGTATACTTTGGTAATTTTATTTTTAATATTTGGATGTGGGTGTTCGTATATATTTGAATATATATATTACAAGTCTCAAGAGGCTACTGCATTGGCCGTCTGATATGTGCAGTGGTCTTATGATATTTGGATGTCAGAAATAAATAAACAAAAATATAGACATATAGATAGATAGGAGTATGTGTATGGGTGTGTACATGTGTATGTGTGTGTAAAAGAGAGAGAACATGGCTGTATGATTGCCAAATTTTAACTTTTTCAATGACATAATTTTTTAAAAAACTGAGATGGCTGCTGAGTAAACAGAAAATTTAAAAATAACTAAAAATTAAACTAGATGTCAAACACTGCACAAAGTATTAGAAAAATAATTGATATAACTTGAAATTTCATGAGCTATATAATAGGAAAGGTCAAGTGGCATAGTTTTTCCTTTTACTATTAATAAATATCTGTATAATTTAAATAAATATGGTGGCCAATATAAAAATTTACTGTAACACTGTCATTTCATGTCTCATAAATTCTTGCCTACTTTAAATTTTGAAATGTATGAGAAAGCTAATAGGCATCCAATTTTTTATGTACATTCAATGCTATGATTGTCAGAGATAGTGTTAGAAAATCATTTATAAATATATGAAACAGACTATGATCTGCATTTCATCTATTGTATTCCCAAATAAAGACTTTTTAGAAATATATTGTTCCACAGTCATGAACAACTTTAGGACTTCTCTTCTTCAGCTGTATTCAAGACTTCAAACATAATTAAAGTCAAAACTCAAGTTTCCTTAAAATGAAAATATTCATTCTTTCCTGCAACTATTCCTCAGGAATCTTTTAAGAAGCAACACCCAAACACTAAGGGAATTAGAAATGACTAGATCTAAACACTCAAATACTTATGTCTTTCTCTTCTCCTCCTTCTCCTGATCCTTCTACATACACAACACAGGCAAAAACTTTAGTCATTGTGATGCACAGCCAGTGAGCCCCCAGACTGGGGCTTAGCCTGGGTGGGTTCTTGGTTTTGTCTGGGAAAAATGTTAGGGCAAGTGATGGTGTTAGATGGTGTTAGACAGCAACTTTTATTAAAGCAGCAGTCTACAGCAGCAGCAGTGGTATTGCTGTTTGTGGAGCAGAGCTACCCCATAGACAGTTTGCCAGAGTAGCAACTCAGAGACAGTCATGCAGTCATATTTATACTCTCTTTTAACTACATTCAAATTAAGGGTGGATTATGCAGAAATTTTTAGAAAAAAAGGTAGTAACTTCTGGGTCATCAGGTGATTGTCATAGAAAGAGGCAGTAAATTCAGGGTGTTGCCATTGCAATGGTAAACTGCCATGGCATTAGTGAGCATCTCTTATGGAAAGGTGTTTTTGCCTCTTCCCTGTTTCAGCTAGTCTTCAATCTGGTCCAGAATTTGATTCCCCACTTCTGGAGTCACTCCTATGTCAACTTTTAATCATTTTTTAAGTCTGTATTTTGCCTATGTTTATTCATTTCATAAGCAAATATTCTCCCTGCTAGAGGGAACATTAAGTTTACATACATTAACCTTATTTAGGAGCTTGAGATGAGAGATCCATAAATCACCTTCAAAGCCAATATTTAAAATTGCAGGAAAAAAAACCAAACATGATCTTGTCTGGCTCATGGGCCCATCTAAGGGCCAATCAGTGGGCCAGGGTCCTGAGTACTATGAATTTCTCATTATGGGTCACATGGCCAATTCTGAGACTGAAGGTTTGAAGATTGAGGGTCTACTAATAGTAGGAGGAAGTAGATTGATTGACATTAATGAATTATTGCCATTGCATTGAACCTGTAAACTCTTGAAAATTGATAATTCTCAGTTCAATTTAATTAATGTTTAATGAGCACTTGGTATTTCTCTGCTAGATAATTAAGCAAATTAAAGAATATCAAGAAGAATCTCCATCCTAATGTTAGTAATAATAGAAGCTATAATATACTGAATACAAATACAAACATAGCTGTTCTACTCCTATTATATTTGACATTAACAACTAAACTTTGGGAGAACATATCTATTAATATTCTTCATTTGATAGCTGGAATTTCTGAGCAATGGCAATATTATAACACTTCTACATCCTATAGGTGGTGTCACTACTAGAATTTACCTGATCCCCAAAGTCAAGTTTTTCCATTATGCTCGTTTACTTCTCTCTGTGCATCATACTACTGCAAATAATCCAGACAGCAAAGACATAAAAAAAGAGATAATATTTTAATTATAAGTATGAATTTAGTAGCAATATATCCTGTTTAGGGGAGGCTGATTTCCCAGAAAAGCAAGAATCTTTCTCAGATGAGAGAGGAAGAATAAATAAAACTTTAATTCAAAACAATTGCATCTCTTGTTAGTCACAAACACAAGAAACAGAGAGAAGACAAACAAATATTTAGTAGATAAAACCTTTTGTAGGGCAGAACAATAATAAATTACATATGCAAATATGTAGTCTGGATAAAAATAATACCTGAATGCAGAAAGGTATAATAAAGCAACTCTACTCTTACATAGTTACCATTATAGAGACTTTGTATTTTTCCAGTTTATAGTTCTTACTTTAGAATTCAAAGTGTTCAAGGCTATTATAAAATATGGCACACACATTTTACTTTTGACGTTACATTTATTTCCATAAGTTACAATTTCAGAAAAATAAATGAACAAAGGCATAAGATAATTTTAAGTTTATACAAAGCTATATATTATACTTACTATAATTATATAAGATGCACTTAATATAAGTTGTGATATGTAAGTATATCTTACATACTTATATTAAGATTTAACTTAATATAACTTGATATGATTTGAAAAAATATAATTTAGATGTTCTAACTTTCATGGATAGAAGTCCATTAAGCTCTGTGTAATTTAGTGTGTTTGAGTTTACTATTATAAAACTGGAAAAACAGAAAATGAGGATACCTGGTGGTCTGGAGAGAACCATAAAAATAAAGAGAGGAGAAGTAAAGGAATATTCTAGACAGAGGAAAGTGCACAACTCGGACTATAAGCCCTTTCCTGGCCGAGGCCTGTGTTGTACACACATTGATTCTTTGTAGGGGGTAGCTTGTTGTTTCATAAACATTTAGTTGGTGCTAAATAAGTTTCATGTATTGATGGGACAGAGATGAGAAATTCCAGAATATATTTAAGGTAAGAAGTGATATGAATATGTCAATTTCACAAAGCAACCGAAACAGAGAACCCAACCTACTGCCGTAATTTTGAAAAACTTCTACATGCTTCTTGCCCCAATTTTATTGACTCATATATACTTCCTCCAAAAATTGTCATACTTATAACTCTTCTATAATTCTTCCAGAAACATCTAAAATGGATTCACTGTACTAAGAAATTCTATTTAAATATAAAATTAGAGGAAAGCTTCCTGAAACTGAAACCCTGCCCTCATGATAATGGTGTCATAGCAGAGGTAAATGTAGTATAATGGGATATAAATTTAAGGGTGAAAAGACAGCAGGAGGAGATTGTATTACAATAATGAGGTGAAAGGACAGTGATGCCCCATGAATAGTGGCTCTCATAAGGGTCAGAACATAGAAAATGTGTGTGTTAATGTCAGATCTATAATCTCCAGTTCTTACTCTTCATGAATATACTGGTTCTCATTTCCTATGTTTACTCTGGTGATACTCATGTGAACAACCTTGAATTCAGGATGATAGTTATCTTGACTTAAGCACAGGGCTACAAAAAAGGCTAATTGGATTCTGCGTATTTCCTGGCTTCCTGGTTGGGGAAAGCTGCAGGGTCTCATTGCTTAATTAGTGTTGACATAAAGTAAAATCAGAGACAGTAAAATGGTAGGACTTAGCAGCAAAATACCAAAAAGAGCAGATATTCAATTTCCATTCATCTCTAAATGTCTATAATCTTAGGGAATCTGAAATCTTGTCATATTCTCTATTGTTTTATTTAGGAACTCAGCTTTAATGGCAATAATAATATCTATCTGTTTAGTGAAAAATTAACTTTACCTGGGTCTGGCCTTTGTTCTGGTTCTGGGGCTAAGCTCTAACTGCTTGGAATTTCCTGAGTAATAGAAATATCTTTGTTATTTATGGTGGGTACCTTGAACCATAATCAATTGTTTATGCTAACAGAGATGACCCAAGGTGTGGACTTGTCATGACAGAAAGACCAAACATATGATTAGAGGGTTGGGGTTTGTGACCATGTGAATTCAGTCTGATCTTCAGGGACGGGTGTGGGACCTAGGGATTAAGTTCTACTCTGTGGACAGGAACCAAGTCAATCATGCCTACATAATGAAATATCAGTAAAGAGTCTGAACACCGAAGCATGGGCATGCTTCTAGGCTTACAGTACTCTGTATTGCCAAATGTTGATGCCAGAAGAGTAATGCATCCCGGAGGACACAGAAACTTTAGATTTGAAGCCCTTCTAGTCCCGTCTTCTTTCTTATGCATCTCTTCCTTTGACTAGTTCTGATTTGTATCCATTTGCTGTAATAAAACTTTAATAAAAAGTATAGTGCTTTCCTGAGTTCTGCAGGTCATTCTAAGCTTGTAATCAAACCATGGGAACCCCAGATTTATAGCCAGTTGGTTAGAAGTGAGTGTGGCCTTGGGGACTCTGCAAATTGTGATGTGTATAATATTTGAAGTATTGGGCAGTTTCTGGCAGTCTGGAAAATTGTGTCCTTAAATTGGGTTTGGTTAAATCCCATTACTACCATTTACTGAAGGTCCACTATATCCTCCAGTCAATATACTTAATAATTTAAAAGTATATGTTACTGTGGTTGTCAGCCTTCAAGATGGTTCCCAATAATCCTTACCCCCTGATATTTGCTCATTTCTACGAGTAAATTGGGGCTGATCTATTATTCATTAAGAATGACCTTCATAATCAGTAGATAATGGCAGAAGTAACGATGTGTGACTTCTGAGGTTTCTGCTTTCTCTTTGATATCTTGACGTACTTGTTCAGGGAGAGCCAGCTATCATGGTGTGGGGACACTTATATAGCTCTATGGAGAGGCTCAAGGGCTCACATGGAAAAGAGCTATAGCTGTTGGAGAATAGTCAACACACACTTGCCATCATTGTGATTGAATCACTTTGGAAGTGATTCTCCCAGCCTTATCAGGGTTTTAGATGACTCCAAGCTGAGAGAATTCTTCCAAGCTGAGAGAATTCTTCCAAGCTGAGAGAATTCTGATTGCAACCACATGAGACCCCAAGCAAGAATTGCCCAGCTGAGTCTTTCCTGAATTTCTGACCCACAGACTCCATGAGCATAATATTTGATTGTTTTATACCAGTAATTTCAGGGGTAATTTTTTGCACAGCCTTAGTTAAACAAAGTAATCATTTTCTATATTTCAGTTTATTTAACCTTAACTTGAGTATCTCAGATAGTTATTACCCACAATTTATTGATATCACAGAAATCTCTCTTGTATAGAGTCAGTTTTCTGCCTTCATTTTATTTAAGTTCTCAGTAGCATTTGCAACAGATGAACATTCATTCTCTACAGTCTTCAGCTGACAGTACATTCCTTATAGTCTTTTCAACACTTTCTGGTTATTTTCTTGTGCTTTCCTTTGAGTGTTTCTCCTTCCTGTCTGCACTTTAAATTTTTAGATGCCTTCTTTTTTCTATCTTTATTCTTTTCCTAGTTAAAGTCATCTTTTGGTATCCAAAGGGAATTAATTCCAGGAAGAACCCCCAACCCTTGCAGATACCAAAATCCAGGGATGTTTAAATTCCTGATAGAAAATGGTGTCATATTTGCATATAACCTACACACATCCTCTTGTTTACTTTAAATCTTCTCTATATAACTTACATACTTAACATAATGTAAATGCTATGTAAATGATGGTTATACTGCATTTTTTATTTGTATTATTTTTATTGTTATTATTATTTATTTATTTATTTATTTATTTTTGCTGAATCTTTATGATTCATTGTTGGTTGAATCTGCTGATATGGCACCTTTGGATATGGAGGGCTCACTGCATGTTATCCAGTTCCATGACTTTAAATATGATAATATTTCCAGTGCATGCATGTAAGACTTCTGTCTCCTCCAGTGGCTCTACAATCATATATTCACATCTTCTCACATTTCCTTTTAAATATCTGATAGGTTTTTCTGAGATAATTTGATCAAAATAAAAGTATCAGCTAACATTCCCTCTCTCCATTCCAACAGGAACTGCTTCCTCAACCCAGCATCTCTCATTATGGTTCATGGCCCTACAAACCACATAGTTATGGTGATGAAAAGAATCCTACAAATTATCTTTAATTTCTTACAACCTACATTCAATCTATAACCAAATTCTTGTTGGCTCTGCCCCAAGGTTTGCCTCAAACCTTATGAACACCATTGTCACTATTGACTTCATAGAACCAAGGCACAAACATCTCTCCTTAAAACTAGGACAATCAACTGCTAAATTTTATTTTTTGATTGTTTAATTTAATATTTTAAATTGATAGATAAAATTGTATGTATTTTATGTGTACAACATGATGTTTCAAGCATACATGCATTGTGGAATGACTAAATCTAACTTATTGACATATGCGCTACCTCACAAAGTTTTTATCTTTGTGGTGAGAATACTTAACATCTATTCTCTTTTCTTGCTTTTACTCTATCCTGAGTTTAGTTCATTCTTCATACTGCAGTCAAAGGGATGCTGAAATAACTTAGATTACATCATCACCATGTTAAAACATTCTTATACTTTCTCATAGCACTTATAGGAAATTCCACATTTCATGCCATGACTTTAAAGCTCTATGTGATTTGATCTCCAATATCCCTGCTGATTTAAATCTCACCGTCACTTTGTCCTGGTAACAATGGCTTTCTCAAATGTGCCAAGATTATTCTGACTTTAAGATATTTGTACTTCTTATTTCTTCAGTACAACCCATTTTCTGAATATTATCACCTAAATGACTCTCACATTGTTCAGATCTCAACCAAATACCACAGCTTCAGCAATGCTTTTCCTGATCACCCTATTTAAAATAGCCTCACTCCTCCTCTACTCTCTCTTCACCTACTTACACAATATTTAAGAGTAATAATAACTTTGTAGCACTTACAATTTGAAATTATAACTTTAATATTTTTATTGAGGGTTGTTGCTTTATATATAGATATTAAGTATTAAAAATAAATAATGCCATAACATAAATAATAAATATTTGTAGACTCAATCAATTAATCAATGAGCTCAAAGAGCTTAAGTAACTTGTCCAAAGCCACATACATAATAAATGTATTTCTAAGTTTGTTTGGCTGCAAAAAAGTTCCAGTTTTGTAAATATCATCACATTAAATTAACAAAGCATTTTTATTGTTAGTGGCAGTTCCCTTGTCATTGGCAGAAGAGTCATTTGTTGAATATTGACTACTGATAGTCATCAATTCCAGTCTCTTCTGTGCTCACTGTTAAACCTTGGAAGTTACGAGTGAAGTTATGGCATAAAATATACCCAGGTTCAAGGCTGCTCTCAATAACTATGTAATCATAGGCAAACTCTTCAAACCTTTGTTCTCTCAATAATAATAGTGATCTTAGTTATATCAGGAAGCATAGATCAAAAGATACAAAGTAACAAATATGTAGGATGAACAAGTTGAAAACATTTATCTCTTATAGGGTAGAGAAAATGAAATGTAAAAATGCAATTTGGCTTGTGCAACTGCAACCACACAACAAACATTTAAATGTCTGATATGTTTCTCATCATGGATAGTATAAATTCCTCTTTTATTATACCACTTATTTATACTATTTCTGGTCTTACCTGTGATAGAAAAAAATTAAGCCATAAATCCTAGCAGACACTAAGACATAGAGATTTTTCTCATCATTTGGATAATGATCTCTCCAGGCAGAAGCGCATAGTTATGGTTCCAACATTATATCAGTTACCTCAGGCTCTGAAGGTGCCAGGAGTTGTAGTTCATCATCTACTAAAATTTAGCTTTTAAAAATAGTAAAAACATTCATCCTTGTTAGGGCTCAGAAGATGATACTCCAAAGTATGGCATCTTGGCATGCTCAGTACTTTGCACTGAGCAAAACTGGAAAGGCCTCAAAAGCAACGTCTCTCTGACATTCTCCTACCCTCCTGTTTCCTGCCTGTCTTTTTCCCCTGAAGAGAGTCATGGAAATGTGAATTCCTCTTCCCCCAGGAGGTCATAGAAACTACATACCCTCTCCCACAAAGCAAGCCTTAAATCCTAGAAAGGTAACTCTCTTTTTTCTCCCTTCTGTCATGAAGATCCTCATTCCAGAGGATTCTGTCCCATACCTAGAGGAAGAAATGCTACACAGACAGGCCAAGCAGAATATGAACAGACAAGCCTTGCTAGGTTGCCCCGTTCTGTCTGTGGTTGTCAGATCACACCCTCTGTCTGATCACATTTCTACATGGCTGTCCATTCTTCATCTATCTATGCAAAAAAAAAAAAAATAGACTGTTTTTCCCTGAGTCTTTTGTCTTCATTTCTGAAGGCTCCCATGTCATGTAAAGGTTTTATTAAATAAATTTTTTATGTTTTTCTCTTGTTAATCTATTTTTCATTATAGAAGTGTTGGCTGTAACCTTTCTGATGGATCTGAAACTTAGCCGGCCATTCTACCACTACATGTTCATGATATTAGATTTGTCAATAATTGATAAGTGGATAGATGAATCAGTTAATAATTATTTAGTAAAACATTATTTGCAAATTCGAGATCTTTAGGCAAGAATTACACATGTACCTCTTCACATCCCCTACACATTTCCCAAAAAACACAGTATCTCAACACCACCATATATCTCTCCATTTTTCTGCAAAGCCATTTCATTTGTTTTCCTCCAGCTGAATCCTACACGTCGATGTAAAGTCAAAGAGCATTTTTCTTACAATTTATCTGTTTCATTTTTACAAACCATAAATTGTTGCTTGGTCATCAAGGTGACTGACGGTCCATCTTACACTGGCGTGTAATATCCACTTTTTTCCCCTTAACTCACAATATATTACTTTTTGGCATCAGCAAATCCCAATTGATTTTAGTCACAAATTAAATGCCCTGATGGTTGTAATATAGTGATTTATCACCAGAGTCAGGAGTGATTTTGTTTTGTAATGGATTTAAGAAAAGGATTGAGGGAAAAAGAGGCGAAGGGTTGAAATTTTCAAGTGTGCAGACACTAAGTGTGAACAATTCATAAAGGTTTGGTCAAAAAATCTACTACATTTGACTATGAAGGGAGCTTTTAAGAAATTGAGTTATGGAAGGCAAACAACAGTAACTGTGTGAGATTAAGCTCTTTACTTTCCAAGTTTCATGTAGTCTTCATTGCTTTGTATTTCTCTTGAAATTACTGAGAGAGAAAAATGCCATTTGTCAACTCATAAAGAATCTCCTGCTTAACTTCTGAGATATAAATATTTATTTTATATTACCCCAAATAAATAAAATCTAGACAATTGGGGGAATGCAGTAAGTCGAAGTGCACTACATATACATCTGGTGTATTGCAGTCAAAATGATTCCTAATAGTAATTAACAGAAAACAGAGTCTCAAAATGGCTTACATAAACAAAATAATTTATTGGCTTCTGTATTAGTCCATTCTTGCATCGCTATAAAGAAATAGCTCATATTGGGTAATTTATAAAGAAAATAGTTTTAATTGGTTCACAGTTCCATGGGCTGTACGGGAAGCTTGATGCTGGCATCTGCTCAGCTGCTGGGGAAGCCTCAAGAAACTTAAATTTATGGCAGAAGGCAAAGCCAGAAACTTTACAGGGCAGAAGCAGGAGAAAGAGAGCTGGTTGAGGTGCTACATGCTTTTAATTGACCAGATTTCATGAGAACTCACTCACTGTCGTGAGGACAGCACCAAAGCGATGGTGAGAAACTATTTATGAGAAAATCTGTCCCCATGATCCAATCACCTCCCACCAGGCCCCACCTCCAACACTGGGGATTACAAAAAGATTTGGTGAGAACACAGGTCCAAACCATATCAGCTTCCATTTTGAAGAGCATATCCATAAATGCAATATATTGGAAGAAGAAGTTATTATGTCTTCAAGTTATTTTGTTATTAAAATTATGAATATTTTGTCTGTATTTGGTGAATAAGGCTTGTATTATTTTATCAATGTCTTTGTTTTTTTAAAACAAAGGAGGCTTTCATTTTTTTCATTTGAGGGTGAGTGACAACTACAGATGACATTTTTCATTTTACCTTTTCTGTTAAGTGTGCTAGGGAGGCTGCAACAAAATACCACAGTCGAGTGATCTAAACAACAGAAATTTATTGGCTCACAGTCCTGGAAGCTAGAAGTCCAATATTAAGATACCAACAGGCTTGATTCCTTCTGAGCCTTCTGAAGGCTGTGCAGGTTAGCTTGCAGATGACTGTCTTCTCCCTGCCTCTTTCTGTTTACCTTCTATGCATGTATAGGTCCAAATTTCTCTTTTTATGAAGACCCCAGTCACATTGAATTAAGGCCCACCTTAATTACCTAATTTTAACTTGATTAACTCTTTAAGAATTCTATCTCCAAATAAAGTCACATTCTGTTGTATTTTCTCAGGAGTTAGGACTTCAACGCGTGTGTTTTGGAGGACAGTGGTCAGCCCATAACATCCTCTTTGCCCACACAGCTCAACAACAAGAAACAAACATGACTTTGCTGAGAGACTATAATCTGCACAGTGCTGTGGAGTTCTGGTCTCAAGTACAGCCTGCTTGGGGTCCAAACTACTATACCAGTATCTGTCAGCTTTCTTTCCTCTGAGTTGATCCTGTTCTCCTTTCCGATGTCTGGCTTTCAAAAATATTAGGTCTTTGACTTTGATAAATTATTTAGAGCTAGAGTCACCCAAGGAGGAGGCACTGGAGAGTTTATATTAACAAACTTATAGAACAACAACAAACACCCAGAACTTTCATGCATTGTCTTCATTTGTGGAACGTATTCATCTTTCTGGATCTATCTCTATGATAGAGGGTATGTATGGAATTCTGGTACTGGCTTAGCCTAGAACATTTGCTGCTTAGCCTAGATCTTTTGCTGCGACACTTTTGTAATCTGATAGTAAAATCAGTTTCACCAGATGAACATGTGTAGTACGTGGAGAAGGGATCCTTCCCCAGAGAAAATTAGAGAGTATTATCAAAAGCAGAATTAATGATTTTATGGAGGTAATAAAAAGAAATAAACGAAATAGGGGATGATAGCTACTAGTACCCAACAGAGGGACAACGACATATTCATTTTGTCTTATTTGAAGTACCTGGATGTTTTTGCCAATCTAAATCTACTACCAAATGCTGGGGGGAAAAGACATTTGAAGATTTTGATAAATTTTTACCTGAAGTGTACATTCTCTCTGAAGTATCTACTTTCAGATTTTGCTAAAAACTTAATCAAATGTTATTACATTTTTTCCTTTTAAAAGCTTTTATGTAGCAATGTTCCAGTGTTTTATTTCCTTTTTAAGGAGTTATTATCTTCCTAAGGTATGTCATGAGAATAGTTGGTAGATAAAACAGTAGTGAGAATAATTAAAAACATACACACAATCATATCATATTGGGAAATAAAATGTATTTATTTTCTTAAGCTATTTTTTGTCATTGTAATTACAAATATTTTGTCTATATTATGATAATGGGAGATAAAAATACTTGTGAACTTTTATTATCTTGATTTTTATTTCAGACTCCCCAAATTAGACACTGATATATTTATATTGAAAGAGAAAACAAAAATAATGACAGCTTTTGACTTATCTCCTCTATTCATTGCACCAAATTCTGATAAGTATATTGATTTCAGAGAGAACCCACTACTACCAAAATGTGGGATGCTAACAGAAAATACTCAGAGGCAAAACATATTGGGCACAGTTGTTCCCAAATGAACAACTTTAAAACAAATATAAGATTTCAGAACTGCTTTGAGGACATGTATATACGGAAAGACCAAGAGTTTCAGCAACGCTGCATAATCTGTGCATCTCAATTCAGATCGGACATTTTTGAACTTATGGTTTAAACATATTTGATCTATGTGAATTCATTACAATTATTACTATTATCTATGTTCAAATTGTCACACCTGTGGAAATTTCCCCTCTGGTACCTTCTTTATGTTTTTTACCATACCGAGTCCTATTGATTTGACCATAATTACCTTCGCAAGCATCCTTGCTATCTGATATGACAAGATATTTCAGACTCATCTTGGATATATCCTGTCCCACAGCCAAAATGAGCCATTTCTTCAAGGAGCCCTTCAACTATTAATGGGAAATGCTATTTGGAGATGATAATCTGTGTTCACAGAGTATAGTTGACTTTTATGGCCTAGAAATATATTATCTTAATTATCAGTTCATGTGAAGGATAATCTTTTTGCTCAGTAGAGGTCTTGTCATACCTAACAAATGGTGTATTTCTAGCATGGTAATAATTAAAACTGTGATTTACAAATTTAAATTTGTTAATAAGGAAGATAGATTCTTTTCGAACTTATGTAAGTAAATACCTGATTAGCAAAGTAAAGGAACTTAGTAAAAGCCCTTAATGTAACATTTACAAATTATTATCTTTGATACATAAAGACAACAAATCAATGCCAAAATTTTCTACAAAATTTGTATATTTTTGATGATTTATTAGCTTATAATCTACATTAAGATATTTCCTGGGAAATTTTGTCTTAAATTTTAGGAACAAAGGCATACTTTAAGTAACAAGGCAATTAATACACATTTAAGATCTTTATTAAATTCAGAGTTCAGTCATTCTTATTGTATGCTAATCAGAGGCATGGATTTTGAGACAGACAGACCTAGGTTTGCCACTGATTGTGACATTGGAAAAATTACTAAAATCTTCCTTTATTATTTTAAAATCCTCACTCAAATGAAAAGATTTTAAAAGGTAATGTTTTCTAAGCTCTTTGTACAATGGCTAGTATATCACAGAACAATAATTAATGGTACCTTATACCTACTAGTGGCTGTGAAAGCAAGACTCAGAGACAAAAGTATTGAGAAAAGAAGAAATTTATTCTGCACTAATAATTTGTAGAAGACTGAACTTCAAGAGGAGATGGCAAAATCGAAAGGAAGGGAGAAAGGAAAAAAGAAAAGGAAAGAGCGAAAGAAAAGAAGGAAGGAAGGAAGGAAAGAAAGAAAGAGAGAGAGAAAGATAAAGGAAGGAACCTAGAAGGAAGAAAAGAAGGAAAAATCGATGTTTAAATTTAAAAAATTGCAAAATTACCAAGGTTATAAAGTTTCCATTATTAATCAGTTTATTCTGGAAACACAGCAACTTTCTCAGAAGATGCACATTGACAAAAGTCATGACATATTTTTAGATAGCATTGCAAAGTGAGAGATAAAATTGGTTTTTGGTAGAAGTCCAGGCTTGAAGAAAATTCTCCAAGTATTTGAGGAGCCAGAACTAGGACAAAACTACGCTTTGTAATTTTGTTTTATTTTTTGGGCAGAGTGGCTGTTCTGCGTGTAAAACAATGATCAGAAACCAAAATCAACCAATTCACTTCTAACAGACTTTTTATCTGTAGTATGTATAATTTAAAATATCCTCCTTTGAAATTCCTGTGTTAATATTCTCGACTGACAGAAAGTGGCATTCATCATAACTGTTATCTAGGATTCTATTTTGAATATTTCAGAGAGCCTAATACAAATCACAAATTACCACAACCATAAGGCCTACTAGGCTAAATATAATTTCATGTGTCTTAGTAGGATGTTACAACTGGTTATCAAAATAGCTCCTGGATCTTCATTACAACCTTTTGAATGCTAAACAATTGAGGGAACTCAGGTGAAACATAGATGATTTCTAAGGTCCCTTCTAGCTCTAACATTCCATACCTTCTCAGCTTTAGGTTTCTAATACAGCATACATATAATATACATGCATAGGATCTATAGGATACATACATATATGTATGTATTATGTTATATTGTATATATGTGTATATATGTATATAAACAGCATATACAATATATACTATATATAGTATATATACAGCATATATACATACATATATATTGTATGTATATAGCCATATTATGCTATATACCTGCTAATACACATAATGCAGCTTAACCACGGTATAGCTGAGGAGATTTGCAGGAAATTCAACTCACTTGCACTCTAAGTAGACACATCACTCAGTAGTTCTATAGTGAATTATTTAGCATATCTTGAAACTTTTTACAGTTTTCTTCATTCAGTAGAGCACATCAACTTCACTTAGTTGTCCTTATTTCATTCTAGTTTCAACTAGGGATCATAATTTAACCTTAGCTGCCTCAGAGTTATTTCATATTGCATTCCTCTTTTCATGGAACATTGCAGAACATAATAAGAAAGCCTGTGAGTAAAAATTTCAAAGCAACTTGACATCCAGGAACAAACCTTTTCCTTGCCCTCAGGCACACACACAGGCGTGTATATACACACAAGTACCCCAGAGATTTTTTTTGTCATATTTATTCTTAGGGTGCTAGGTCAAAAGGAAGGCTATGCCTAGGTAAAGAGGAAGCATTTTATTTTCTTACTCTAGTTTAAGATTTGCCTACCAAACTAAGGTTTTGTCTCTTGAGTAACCTTTTCTAATTACTGGCATTCATTTAAATAAACATCTAGTCTAGCTCTTTAGTTCTAAGGAAGCTTGTGTAAAGTATAATCCATTGTCAGTATATGACCCAAATTACAGAATAGTAGATAATACTAGATATTATGCACAATTACCTGTTGGCTATCAATACCACACCTCAAGTTAATGTTAATGTTAATGTTTGTCAAACTTATCCCCTTTCCTTGTTACTCCTTCATGCGTACAAACTAAGAAGAGATGAATAAGGTAAGAGTACAGTAAAAAAATGATCAATTTTCACATGATATTTACAGGTTTTTTGTGGCACTTGATAATTTAAGATTAATAAAATTGAAATGGTCACTAGCCCAACTCTAGTCTGTGCTAGAGCTGCTCAGCATACCTATACTAAAAATAATTTTCATCTTTAAACATGGTCTTTGCTGGTATAAAAATTGAGGTCTATTTCAACAGACAAATATTTTACATGGTGACCTCCCCTAAATTCAACAACAATAAAATTCTGTCAGTATTCAACATTTTACAGTTTTTACTTTTTTTCTCTCTCATGATTTTTAGTACTTCTATTTTTCCTGGTTTTGTCACATAAAGAAAACTAGATTATCTCTACTTGTAATTGCTGAAGTCAACTCAGACACCAAGCATCGTTGCTTTGACAGCTATAGATAGTATGTTTTTCTTCAGGAAGAGCTTACAAGATGGGAAAGAGAAGACAGTAACATTCATCCCTCATTCTCCTGGGCTCATTACTCATGTAGCCATTTATTTATATGAGAAAAATGACATTTTCTGTGCATCCAACAACTTGTGTACCTTGCTTGTAATGACAAAACTGTGGAAAAATACTACCTGTTTATCATTATTAAACATGCCAAGAACTGCAGTGACATTCTATTGACACTAAGTCATATACTCCTGGTATTTAACTGCTTTAGTCCTAATGACTCATCAAGCTGATATTAAATATAATTAAGGACAGTGAACTGCAAGTTCCCCACACCAAAATTCTTGATCTAAGAGACAGGACACCATCACTCCAGTGTACTTCTCACACAATTACACCTCTATATCTTTGGAGACTTTTGCTGATAGTAAAAACCCAGTTTTTTTCCTACTAAAGTCTTTCCAAGTCTGTGATCATGGCAGAGCCGAATGGACATGAGTGATTCTCTTCTTCCTTCATGAAAAAGACCTTGCCTTAGACATGGAATGAAAGGACATATGAAAAAAATGGAGGTGCTGATTTGTGTTTTGCAGAGCCAAGAGTCGGCTCAATTCTTATCTTCTCTGATTGTAGTGCCAAAAGAAAATACTAAAATAATAGAGAAACAATATAAAGCCCTAAAGATATGCCAACCAATTTACAGACCAAATAACTCTATTTAATCATATATACCAATTGAGATGTCCACATTCATATATAGATTATACCAATTGGTGCTGCATGTGGTTAAACAAATCCTGAATATAAGAAGATACATGAAGGACAAAGGAATCAGACTTACATTAAGGTATCTTTTTTCAGAAAACATGTTTGTTATAATTCATTTTAATAGAAGTTTATTTTTATTGCCAAGATAATGTAAAAATATTTATTTAGTCAACCAACATTAAGTATGAGAAGCTATTGTAAATTCTGGTAAAATACGTTAGTGAATAAAAAGAACGAAATCTCCTTGCATGGACTTGACTTTCTAGTGAGGAAAGACTAATGATAAGTAAATAAATGTGTAAATATATGGAATATATTAGACTTACCAAACTCTCTGGACTTCACAAAATATTTGCAAAGTCCTTCTATGTTTCTAGCATATTCTTATTTTTTGAATTGATGTAAGCCCAAAAGCCTGATGCCACTTAACATATCTCTTAGGACTTCTGTGCTTTAACAAATATCTACTGTTAGCACTGCATGATTTCATAATTCTGATAATCAATTATTCACACTAGTACCTACAGAGAAGCCCATGGTCATCTCTTTCTACACTTCTGATTAACCTCATATTTGAGAGTTGGGTGGAGTACATCCAATAATAGCGATCCCTACAAAGTGAAAGTACAGTAAGAGGGACATAAAAGTATAATGAGAAATTGTAACCAAGAGGATGAGACTCACAGATCGATACTTAATCACCTTAAGGAAACTACACAATTAATCACTTGCTCAAATAAAATAAGAGTTTAAGCTAAGTAGTTTCATTTTATCTACAAGAAACCCCAAAAATTTAGCCTAAAAACAAATCAATCCAAAACAATGTAAACAAAGTACAGATTATTTTTAAATAAATTTTTGTTTTGCTTAAAATATGTTTAATATTAGTGCCTAGACCAAAATTATGATTCTAAAAATAGTTATTATATTTTAAATTGATTTAATTATTTGATTTGAACACATTTTATTGAGGAGTGTTATGTTAGCAGTGTGGGCAAATAAAAATAAAAAGCACTTTCTCGGCTATCAGAAACACGTGAGATAGAATAAGATTTAAAAATTAACATATGTCTACATGCAAATTCTAAGTGCCATATCACAGTGCAAAATGCTAGGAAAGTGAAGAGTGGGTACTATCATTTTTCATTGCCTTGTTGAAGAAGGTAGACTTTGAGATTAGGTTTATGATATTGGTAGGAACTGTCCAAGAGATAACTTTTCTATAAAACTTGTTTTAGTTTTCTATTGTCTTGTAACACATTATTCCAAGCACAGTGACTTAAAACATCACACACATTTTTTTAATCTCACCTTTTCTATGGATTGGGAGTTTGGACAAGACCCCTATGGGCCCTCTTCTTAGGGGTCTTAAATGCATACAATCAACATGTTATTTGTGTTCTCATCTGGAGGTTACACTAGAAAAGAATCCAGTTCCAAGCTTATTAAGACTGTTGGCGGAATTCATTTCTTTGTGGTTTTATGACTGAGGTCCCAAGATTTTGTTGGCTACAGGCTGGAGGCTGCCCTCAGATTCTAGAGGCCAACTGCAGTTCTTTGCTATAAGGGGGTATCCATTTGTCACATCTACTAAAATAGATCTAACATAACATAACAACATAACATAACATAACATAACATAACATAACATAACATAACATAACATAACATAATCATGGGAGTGATGACCGATCTGGTTTTCCGTATTGTAAGCATTAGAAGCAAGGTCCAGCTTGCACCAAAGGAAAGGTATTAGGCAACAGGAAATGAGATATCACTGGGGGTCACATTAGGATTTATTTGTCACAGCAACAAATGACTCCCTAAATTGAAGTAATTTGCAATTCATTTCTTGCTTATGTCACATTTTGGTGGCTACAGCAACTACTGTGATGCCATTACAAATATCTTATCATCCCAAGACTCAAGCTAAAAGTGAAGTTCCTCTTTTGGAGATATCACTTGTGCAGCAGAAGGAAAAGAGACATGATTGAGATTGATTATTCCTTTTAAAACAACTGCTCAGATGAGTTCATCCACATGTCACCAATCGGAAAACATCACATAACAGTAAGAAGAAACATACAATTCTCTTGACAGTGAAAGGAAGAACAACCATCTGGGAACAACAGAACAATCTACCAGACTTTGAAATAAAGATACTGGGGAAGGTTTCATGGTAGTCATAGAACTGAAAATTCATGCAGCATGTATAAAATATTCAAATGTTTCCAAGTAGAAGAAATCTATTCAATATACATTTAAAATTTCAGTTGGTTTGAACCTTTATACTTTCACCATTTTTATGTTCTTACATTATAGTTGACCATCACAAACCACCGTTCAAATATTAATTTTTTTAAAAACTCATCTGCTGATGAAGAAACTTTCATAATTTTGAATAGAAGTACTGCCTATTAATGACAAATAGGAATCTAAATGATATTGCAATCTTTGTTTAGCAGCATTTACCTATGCAAAATTTAAATATTTGTTATTTTAAGGCTTTATATAAAATAACAAAATTAGTGTAATTTTTGTTTTAAGATTTTATAAATTTAGTATAGTTAAAACCAAAAAAATTCATACAACTGGAAATGCCGACTAGGCTTTCAATGTGAAGATTAATAAAAAAGTTCAAAGTGTAAAGAATGCACTTAATCACGCCTGTAATCCCAGCACTTTGGGAGGCCGAGGCTGGTGGATCAAGAGGTCAGGAGACTGACACCATCCTGGCTAACACATTGAAACCCCGCCTCTACTAAAAATACAAAAAATTAGCCGGGCCTGGTGGCACGCGCCTCTCCCAGCTACTGGGGAGGCTGAGGCAGGAGAATCACTCAAACCTGGGAAGCAGAGGTTGCAGTGAGCTGAGATTGTGCCACTGCAGTCCAGCCTGGGCGACAGAATGAGACTCTGTCTCAAAAATAAAAATAAAAAATAAAAATAAAAAAAAAGAATGCACTTAAAAGAAAGGTTTAATCAATTATTTCCTTTCTATAGTTCAGGTCTTCAGGACCTGTACACACTCCCCAAATTATAATTTGTTTGATTGACTTTTTATACCCATAATTTGTAGGGAAAAGAGAGATCAGACTGTTACTGTATCTATGTAGAAAGGAAAGACATGAGAGTCCATTTTGAAAAAGACCTGTACTTTAAACAATTGCTTTGCTAAGATGTTGTTAATTTGTAGCTTTGCCCCAGCCACTTTGACTCAGCCACTTTGAACCAACCTGGAGCTCACAAAAGCATGTGTTGTATAAAATCAAGGTTTAAGGGACCTAGGGCTGTGCAGGACATGCCTTGTTAACAAAATGTTTACAGGCAGTATACTTGATAAAAGTCATCGCCATTCTCTAGTCTCAATAAACCAGGGGCACAATGCACTGTGGAAAGCCACAGGGACCTCTGCCCTTGAAAGCGGGGTATTGTCCAAGGTTTCTCCCCATGTGATAGTCTGAAATATGGCCTCGTGGGATGAGAAAGACCTGACTGTCCCCAAGCCCCACACCTGTAAAGGGTCTGTGCTGAGGTGGATTAATAAAAGAGGAAAGCCTCTTGCAGTTGAGATAGAGGAAGGCCACTGTCTCCTGCCTGTCCCTGGGAACTGAATGTCTCGGTATAAAACCCGATTGTACATTTGTTCAATTCTGAGATAGGAGAAAAACTGCCCTGTGGTGGGAGGCGAGACATGTTTGCAGCAACGCTGCCTTGTTATTCTTTACTCCACTGAGATGTTTGGGTGGAGAGAAACATAAATCTGGCCTATGTGCACATCCAGGCATAGTACCTTCCCTTGAACTTAATTATGACATAGATTCTTTTGCTCACATGTTTTTTGCTGACCTTCTCCTTATTATCACCCTGCTCTCCTACTATATTCCTTTTTGCTGAAATAATGAAAATAATAATCAATAAAAACTGAGGGAACTCAGAGGCCGGTGCAGGTCCTTGGTATGCTGAGCGCCAGTCCCCTGGGCCCACTGTTGTTTCTCTATACTTTGTCTCTGTGTCTTATTTCTTTTCTCAGTCTCTCATCCCACCCGACCAGAAATACCCATAGTTGTGGAGGGGAAGGTCACCCCTTCATAATTAAGGTATTCATTTGCTTATTCAACAAATACTTAGAGAATATCTAGTATGCAGTATTCATTGCTCTAGATTCTAGGGATAGGATATTTTAAAACATTTTAAAATTTCAGATTTTTTGGAGCATAATGTTTTGTAGTAAAAGACAGTAAGTGTCTAATTAGAATATATCAGATAATGTCAATTTATAAGAAAAATATAAAATGTGAAAATGGATAGGAAAAGTTGGAAGTAATTGGAATTTTATGTAAGGGTAAATATAAAAGGACGTAATAAAAAAATATGGCATATGAGTAAAGACCTTACTGAGGTAATAGGGAAGACCATTCCAATATTTAGGGGAGAAAGACGCACTGCAAAGGGTTCAGTGAGTGCGATATTATATGATGAGATGCTAGTAGAAAATCAACAGGCGCTCTTAGACCCAAATTGTATAAAATGAATTGAAGCTTTTGATGTGGAACAAATAAAACCTATCCACTCGGAAAAAGTATCTGGCAGTAACATATGAGATGTTGTCACAGTAGGGCAGAATCAGAAAACCCAGCTATAGAATTTTCATAGAAGTTTTTGGTAATCTGGGCAAGAGATAAAAAGTGATAGCAAACACTGTCAAATAGGTGCTGAAAACTTTTGCTCCCTTTTTTCTTCTGAACAACCAACTTTGTTGCCATGTTTCCTTCTTTCCATCCCTTAATTGAAGAGAAGATGGCCCTATCCCTAACTCAAGGGTTAAATCCTGATTTATTAACTTAAGAATGGCAGGTCTTTTCCTTCTGCTAGTAAATTAATTTAGTAGTGAAAATGTGACCTAATTGTGGGAAATAGCATTGAGAAAACTTTCTTGAGAATTTCTGGTTAATGTTTTTACATTAGTAAAATATACAGAAGGAAGTGTCCTTGTCAGTAATATTTTTCTAGATATTCCTGTATCTTGGAATTCCCAATACATTTTCTATTTATTATGGGACAAAGTCTTATGTATATAAATCTTAACACAGAGTGAATCCTGGACATAAAAGCTGAAAGACACTACATATTTGTTGATTTCACTGCGATGCTGAATTCAGCAACCTTGAGATTGTCACAATTTAAGGCTTCATTTAAATTACCTTATAATAATTTCTTACTGCTAAAACCACTGGATTTTAGATATTTCTCTTGTTATAGTTTAAAGTTTTCTGAGTAAAACTTAAGGGAAGTAGTAAGACCATAACATGGAGTAAGACTAGGGATAAACAGAATGGACATTAAGATAATTTACTGGAAGCTTTCCATTTAACAGATATTATTCTGAGTACTTGACAACAATAAATTCATCTAATCCTCACAACTACCCTGAGAAATAAGCTAAATTTACTCCAGAATATAAGCTCTATTTTTCTTGGTATCAAGCTGGTATCAAGCTGTTGCTAGAAAATGGCTGACCTTAGAGGAGTTACATTTCCCAGGCTCCCTTGCAGCTAGGGCTTGTGATGTATTTTCATCAATGCCATGTGAATTGAATTGATGAGGTACCTTTCCAGGACTGACTCACAAAAACCTTGCACACGGTGTTGCATTATGGCTTTTTTCCACTTCCAGGTGGCTGACTTGGAAAATAAATGTTGACATCAGCAAAGCCACCAATATCCTTGTATTTGTGAATGCCAGCATGGGGGAGAGAGTATCCTTGGCAACTTGCTAACAGACTCTAAGTTCTTGCTAAGTTCTTTAACAAGAGCAAGAAATGAGCTTTTATTGAGTAAGGAATAATGTACTATTGTATGCGGATCTTTATATATTTTTTGCTCTATATGACATAGCCATTCTCTAATTGGAGGCATGGAAACTGAAATCTGTGTGCATGCACATGGAAGTCTGCATGTGTGTGTGAATATCTGCCTGTATGTGAGAATGCACAATCCTGGTTGGATTTTGGTACTGAGATAATATTAGAATAAAATAATTGGGTACTTTTTTTTAATGTTTCCTTTCTTCTGGAGCCCTTTAAATGGCCATGGGGCTTAATATTTTCAGAATATTTTGTAGAAATCTCATATTAAATGGCCTGTTGATAATTTTATTTCTATTTGTAAGCATTGTTCTATCTAGATTTGATATCTTTTTGAAGATTGATTTTGATGTTTTGTTTTTTCATGGTGCTCAGTCATTGCAAAAAAAAATTGTCTAGATGTGAACATAATAGTCTCATATGATGTCTTCCTGTGTGTGGTTAGACATTATCTTTGAAGATAATTTTTGCTGTTGTTGTTCCTTCTATTTTTGGGAATGGGTTATCTCTTAATTTATTAGTTCTATCACTTTTTGTTTTGTTATTCATTAATGTCAGCATTTACATTTGTTAAAATCAGATCATTCTACTTTTCCAATGCCTAATTATATTTTTAGTGTCTTGGATTTGATTTTTTCATAATAAAAATATATACAGCTTTTAGTTTCTCTTAAAAACCCTTTTATCTATATCTCATCTATTTTAACATGTAACTTTTTAAATTACCCTATTTCAATTTGGATTTCCTTTTTGATATAACAAGTTGTTTAAAATAGTTTTATTTGTTTTTTTTCTTATAGCATCATATCATCATTATTTGGTATTAACCTCAAGTTTTATTACATTGTTATCCATAGCATTTCACTACTATTAAAATCAGTAAAGTTATCTTCCTATCAATTCTAATGGGTGCTAAAGAGATTCAAATGTTTCCTTTGAGAGTGTTAAAGTGTTCTATGTTTGTTAGTGTTTTTATTTTCTTAAAATTGGTCTCTCTAGTTATGTCCCACTATTTAATGTAGGATAATGCATTATTGGTCAAAGTAGTAGTTAGATAGAATTGAAAAATCCATCATCTATGTAGACCATATACTCACTTCTCTGAAACTTAATTTCTCCATCTACTAAATCATGGTAATAATATCACTTTATATTATAGTTATATAGATTTGGGAACTATATTGTATATCTGTTTTCTGTAGCTATATTGTATAAATATATTGTACAACTGTTTTGTGAGCTATATGGTATACAATAGGCACTCCATATAATTTAGATATTGTCTCCTGTAGCCTATTCAGATTGAATATCCCAAGCTTTTCTCTATTTCATTCCTTTCCTGATTTTAGCCCAAGGTCAAAAATGACATCCTTCTCTATTTAGGCAGAGGTGTTAAGAGGGTATACCTAGCCTGCCAGTGGATTAAAAACATTTGTTTTTTACCCAGGAATAAATGTTGCATATTTTGTGACAAGCAATAATGATTACAACATAGATATCTTAACATAAATTAAAATGCCTTAAGATACCAAAATGCAAATCACCCCCAAAAATAAAAAATTCAGCACCCAAAGGTATATATTTCTAATAAGAATCCCAAATTAGTTATGGCTAATCTGACCACAGACTTGCTGGCAGAATCAGAACTTTTCCTAGCAAGTACAAGTTTGTCATTTAAGAAGACAGACACACACTAAATAACCCAAGGTGTTTTAAAAATATCAATGCCCAAGTAATTCTAAGATGCTCCCAGGTTTGAGAATCATTGAAATAGTGTTTCATTTATTCTAAGCAAAACTCAGTGAGGTCATTATTATATCCAGTTTTCAGATGAGGAAAGTGAAAGTCAGAGGAGACAGCATTGTTCAAAGTCATATAAACTACTGGCTTAAAGCTGAGAGTTAAACTCCAGGGATTTACTCTAGAACCTCTCAAGTGGACGGTCTTTCCCGTACTCTAGAAGTATATTGAGAAACCTTGACCTTGAAGTAATTTAGAAATGAATTACTATCTGAAAGGTGAAATAAGTGCAGAATTAACTAGAACACGAAAATACAAAGCCATTTTAAAAATAAATGCAAACTAGGACTCCAAAGCTGGCAATAATTGAATACAGATTGGATAGACATTCTAGTATACTAAAAAATGAAGGGGGATTTTTCTTCAGCCACCAAAAAATATAGCCACAGAAATAAACTTTGTGCCTATCTCAGTACATTCAAGGAGAGGATCCACTGGCTCTCCAGGTTCACATAAAGGAGATAGACATAGTCAGGGATACAGGAAAATGTTGCCAGCTTATTTTAGTCTTGTGAGTGATGTAAATAAAACCAACAAAATATGATCATAAGATCTTTCTTTTATATACAAAATTTTTTCTTTATATATACAATGTAATTTATATCCAATAGTAATTTCTTTCAAATCTGTTGAATCATTTAGGTAGTATATAATGCTTGCTCCTCTTGAAAATTCCACTATATTTTATCAGTGTATAAATTGTCTTTCTAGTATACATATCAGAATGTTTTACTTTTGTTATTTTGAGTGTCGCATGTCTGTTCTACTGAGTCCCTCATAACTAATAAATATTGTTTTATTTCTCTCTGTTACAATATTCTGAAACTTTCTCTTACTTTTATGTCATACAATCGATATTAGTACAGCATAGTGGCATCATTTTAACTTTTCTGTCATAAGTGTATTGCATAAGCCTGAAGAGACTGAATAATATTCATTCTCATTAACCCAATGTAATGAAATTATTCTCTTTTCACCTATGAAAATGACAAATATCTTAATTAAATCAAAGACTCATTGTTGGTGAGGATGCAGTGAAATGGGCACTCATAAGCTTTTAGTGGCAGTGCAGCTTGATAGACTTTCTCTAGAAATGAGTTTGGCTGCAGGTATAATAGATTTTAAATAGAGCTTCAGCCATTTTATTTTATTTTATTTTATTTTATTTTACTTTAAGTTCCAGGATACAAGTACAGAATGTGTAGACTTGTTACATAGGTCTACGTATGCCATAGTTGTTTTTGCTGCATCTATCAACACATCATCTAGGTTTTAAGCCCCATATGCATTAACTATTTGTCCTAGTGCTCTCCCTCCCCTCCACCCCTCCGAGCCCAGGAATGGCCCTGGTGTGTGTTGTCCACCTCCTTGTGTCCATGTGTTCTCATTGTTCAACTCACACTTATATGTAAGAACATGTGGTGCTTGGTTTTCTGTTCATGTGTTAGTTTGCTGAGGATGATGGCTTCCAGTTTCATCCATGTCCCTTCAAAGGATATGTTCTCATTCATTTTTATGGCTGCATAGTATTGCATGGTATATATGTACCACATTTTCTTTATCCAGTCTATCATTGATGGGTATTGGGGTTGGTTCCATGCCTTTGCTATTGTAAATAGTGCTGCAATAAACATACGTGTGCATGTGTCTTTATAGTAGAATTATTTGTTTTCCTTTCGGTATATACCCAGTAATGGGATTGCTGGGTCAAATGGTATTTCTGGTTCTAGATCCTTGAGGAATCACCACACTGACTTCCACAATGGTTGAACTAATTTACATTCCCACCAACAGTGTAAAAGCATTCCTAGTTCTCCACAGCCTCGCCAGCATCTATTGTTTCCTGACATTTTAATAATCACCATTTTGACGTTGTGAGATGGTATCTCATTGCAGTTTTGATTTGCATTTTCTTTTTTTAAATTTTTTTTATTATATTTTAAGTTCTGGAATACGTGTGCAGAACGTGCAGGTTTGTTATATAGATATACACGTGCCATGGTGGTTTGCTGCACCCATCAAGCCGTCATCTACATTAGGTATTTCTCCTAATGCTATCCCTCCCCTAGCCCCTCACCCACACAACAGGCCCCAGTGTGTGATGTTTCCCTCCCTGGGTCCATGTGTTCTCATTGTTCAACTCCCACTTATGAGTGAGAACATGTGGTTTTCTGTTCTTGTATTAGTTTGCTGAGAATGATGGTTTCCAGCTTCGTTTTTAACCCCGTAATTTTTCTTCTAGGATAAAGCGTTACATTTTTTCCATTAACTTAAATGTAAATTCTATAATCAGAGAGACAGATGAGATAGCTATAGTTATGAATATATATATGAGTATATATAAGCACATATATGAGTGTATATACACTTACATAAGGAAGTATAAGTATATATGAATATATATATTAAGTATAAGTATATTTATAAATATGCTGAGTGTAAGTATATACACACTCAGTATATATATATAAATATATATACTTATACTTATGTAAGTACATATACATTCATGTATATGCTGTTATAGTAATACAATTTATATGATTATGTTATAATATATAATACTGTATAACATATAGCATGTATAAGTATGTATATAGTATATATATAGTAACATATATATTATATATAGTTGCATATATACTATACATATATATACCTATATATAAATAAATATAGATATAGGTACAATATACATATAGGTATAGTATGAGATATATCAAACACAACAATCTGCAAGTAACTTTTCTGGGTGCCTAAGGGTCTTCATTTGTGCAAAATTGGTCTAAAATCCAAGGACACAATAAAACTATAAAATATATCTAAACTGGTAAATATCATACCATGATGTATTATCCAAAATAAATAGCAAGATGAAAGAGAAGCAATTAGCATAGAAATAGAAGACAATGAAGACAATCTTACCTTGGAGTTTACTTTTCTACTTGCAAGTAAATAAGCAACAGAGAATATAAAAGTTACTTACATAATTTTTTTAAAAAATATATTCTACTGAACTTTTCTTTTTCTTTTTTTGCATTGGAGGGCATACTTAATTCAGCCCAGAGATTTCCAAATAAATAAATGATTCTCAGTGACTAGGATACTCACATCAAGTTACTTACATGAGGTTCTATAGCTAATAAATAGAAGAGCCAGACTTAGAATGTAAGTCTCCAGATTCTATACCTGGTGGAATTTTTTTTAAGTTTAAATATTTTTTCCTGGTAGGCATGTCTTTGCACATTTCTTTACATTTTGTACATTGTAAGTGAAATTCTATTTCCCGTTGTTTAACTATTGTGTTCATTTTGGACATTTATATACAATTATTCAGTAATATAGCATTGTACTATAGATCATGTTATAGTTTTTATGTCTTTAACAACAGCCTTCAAGGCTAAAAATCTAATAATTTTGTATAATTACTTCACTCCAGGACATCTCCCCAAGAATTATCTTAGTGACTGATGAATCAGAGGGATACCTAAATACAAAAACTGAGTGAAAACACCAAAGGATGAGCCAAGTTTGCCAATGGTAACATAAGCATTTAATGGATGGCCTAATAAGAATTTTGTCCAGGTACCTGTGGGGAAGATTTGATACCAGAGTTATAAACTG